>NC_000002.12:18418846-18570361 GCF_000001405.40 Homo sapiens
CAGCAGCATTTATTAAAGAGATTACCTTTTCCCCAATGTATGTTATTGGTGCCTTTGTCAAAAATGAGATGACTGTAAAAGCATGAGTTTATTTCTGGATTATCTATTCTGTTCCCTTGGTGTGTGTGTGTGTGTGTGTGTGTGTGTGTGTGTGTGTGTGTTTGGCAGTACATGCTGTGTTGGTTACTCTAGCTTTGTAGTATAATTTGAAGTCTGGTAATATAATACCTACAGCTTTGTTCAGTTTTCTCAGGATTGTTTGTTCAGCCATTATAAAGAATAGTTTAGGGGTTCCTCAAAAGCTAAAAATATAACTACCATATGATCCAGCCATCCCAGTGCTGGGCGTGTATTCAAAAGAAAGGAAATCTATATTGAAGAGACATTTGCACTCCCATGTTTATTGCAGCACTATTCACAATAGCCAAAATGTGGAATCAATCTTAAGAGTCCATCATAAAGAAAATGTGGTACATATACACAGGAATATTATTCAACCTGAAAAAGAATGAAATCCTGTCATTTTCAACAACATATGTGGAACCGAAGGACATTATGTTAAGTGAAATAAGCCAGGCACAGGAAGACAAATATTGCATGTTCTCACCCATATGTGATAGCTAAATAAAGAACACATGGAAATAGAGAGTGAAATAATGTTTACCAACAGTTGGGAAGAGTAGTGGGGGGTGGAATATAGAATGGATGGTTAATTGGTACAAAAACACAGTTAGATAGAAGGAATAAGATTTAGTGCTTGGTAGCACAATAGGGCAACTATGATTAACAATAATTTATTGTATATTTCAAAATAACTAAAAGGATGGGACTGGAATGATCCTAACACAAAGAAATTATAAATGCTTGAGGTGATAGATATCCCAAACAACCTGATTTGATCATTACACATTATATGCTTGTATCAAAATATCACATGTAACACGAGTATATACAACTATCATGTATTCATGATAATTAAAAAATTTAAATATTTAAAAATAGCTAATAGTAAATTTAATGTTATATATATTTTACCACAATAAAAAATAGAAATGAAATAAACAAAATACCCAGCATGGATATGATACCATTTATATAAAATGTAAGTATAAGTATAAAACTTTAGAAAAAAGTCACAGTTTCCTGATACAAACTTATAGGAATATCTATGATATATTTCCAAGTATAAAAAGTAATTTGTAGGCTAATATGTATGGTATTATATTTTAATAAAAAGCAACTGGGAATATTTCAATATATCTGTAAATATGAAGGTGGTAGAAGGGATAATTTGTGTTGAATATGCTTATATATTATAGCAATTGTTTCAACAACCATACATTACTATCATAATTTTTAAAATTAAATACAGAAAATATAAAAGAAATCATTTTGGTAAGGTTACATTGTATAGTAAGCTTTGTAAACCATTGTCTTTCACATTTGGTGAATGTATATTCCAAGTCTGAAGTACGCCTTTCACTTGTGTAATGGTACATAAGGTATTCTCTGTCATCTATTTATTCAACCCTGTTTACAGAAATTTTGCCATGGTACATCAAGAGTATAAATATGGCAGACAAGCTTTGCATAATCAGGATCAGCAGCTTTGAGTAAGAAATTTTATATATATATATATATATATATATATATATATATATATGGCACAAACTAATTCATATAATCTATGATATTCAGGGTTGGGGCTTTTTTGGTTTTCTAAAAAGAAACAAGAAATTAAAGACACTTGTTAAGTCACTCAAGTGAAGAACTACTTGGTTGTCCTTTTTTGGTGGGCAGATTGTAGTTGTTACCCAAATTGTTCTCATTTCTCAATATTCACGCCTTTTGGTAGTCCTCTCTCATACTGACAACAGGCCTATATCATATGATTTTCTTTGGTTAATGGTGCAATTAGCTGCAAACATCATATTGATAGGCTTGAAATGCGCTAGTGGATTAGGGCTTGCATTCTTGCTATTAGAACTCTGAAACCTCTCATGTGAAAACTTGGGCTAGCCTGTGGAGGATAAAAGATCATGTTGAGAGAGACCATATGATCTCAGCCAACCCACTAGCTTTTTGTAGACATATTAGCAAGCCCTCCCACCTAAGATCAGCCAAATCTGACCCAGAAAGAATTGCTGTTTAGCACAACCCAAATTACTGATTTGCAGAATAATCAAGAAAATAAATTGCTATTGTTTTAAGCCATAACTATTTTTGTTGGTTAGTTACTCAGCAAAAGAGAACTGATACATCTTCCCTGCACCCACAATCTTTTGTATTTGTATTGCTCCTACTCCATTTAACTGAAATTTATTTTTAGTAGCTTGCCTTTATCTAGTTTTCATTTAAACAATAATTCTTTTTCATTCATATTTTATCACTTAGATAACTTTCAATCTTACTATATAAATATAATGGCAAATAAAACTATCACAAGCAGGTTTGAGAATAAAAACAACTGATTCCAGGTAATCTTAGAACTCATTAATGGAGAACAGAAGTGCATGGGTGACCTACAGAGTGACCTACAATCATGAGCATTTATCACGTTGTTGACATCAGTAAGAGGATGTAGCATGGGCTACGACAACACTTTAGGAGCTCTATTACACTAAGATCGCATTTCCTGTCTGACTTTACTATACTACTAAAGTTAAAAAATCCTAATATCCCTGCATCTCCTGGTCCAGCCAGTAAATGAGTTATCTTAATAATTTAAAAATAATCAGGATCCCATGCATACTTAATCTAAAATTGCATATATATTTATAAACATAAAAAATATTTAAAATATTAAATTTTTGAAAGTACATAATTTTATTACATTCCAAGACATTTATTATGTTACTATTATTCATGATAGGAAGACATGTGCATTGGAACTTCCAATTGATTTTTAATACAGACTGAAATAAAAAGATATATAATTCCTGACATTAAATTGAATCAACCTAAGCAATTCTGTTAAGGCCGTTGTATTAGTAAAAACAAGTATCACAAAACTGACATAACAAATAATACCAAAATATCAGAGACTTAAAATAATTTGTTTTCTTGCTGGTGTGTCATAGTCCAAGGCTTGTAGGCTGTAATTTCTGTTCCCTCAAATTGGGACCCAAACCTATTCTATCTGATAGAACTAACATCATTGTCACTTGGCCTCTATGATCCCCATAGAAAAAGAAGTGAGAGAGAGAATATAGTGAGGCTCTTGTGTTAGTTGAGAAGTTACACCTGACAGCTCTAATCATATTCTTTGCTCCGAAACTATCATATGACCTAATTATCTTTAGACTACAGCTAGAAAATCTGATCTAGCTGTGTGCCCAGAAAAGGGAAACAGGGTTGGCAACCACCTCTCTAGTCTCTGCCACAGTCATTAAACCTACTTTTTCATACCACAAATCTGAGTACATCAAAAGTGTATCTAAATATAAGAGGGGTTTAAATGAACAACAATTGAAGTTAGTAGCAACTAAGTGATTCTCATAGAAGTTAAAGTGGCCGAGTGATATGGATACAGTCAAGAAGTCAGTCATGTGTTTTTGTGTTCATGGTGTTTTAAGATATATGAACATAATGATGTCCTTCTCTAGAGTTCAGATTCCTTTTTTATACTAGAAATAAGGAATTAATCAATTTCCAATTTCAAAGAGAGATTGGCAAATTGTTCCAGGAACATTCTGAGATGATGCTGGTGACTAGGAAAGGGCTGAGACAGGCTCCCTGACCTTCCAGATCACTTCCTCACTCCACATCTACTGACACTCTGGGCAAAAATTCAATATTGTGGTTTATTAAGAACAGATTTTTCCTTTCTGTACGTATTTCTCGTATTTCTTTCTAACTTCAAAGCCTAAAAGGAAGAGACTTATAAGCATGCCATATATGTGTGTGTATGTGTGTGTGTATGTATATAAAACATCTTCATTTCATTCATTCAACATTCATGCAGTGTTTTTAGTGACTTCATTTAATTTATTTTGCTTTTATTGAGAACTTACTATGTGACAGGTTTTATGTTGGGAAATGGGAGTACAAAGATAAATAAGCTATAAATATGCCTTTGAGGAACTTAGAGCCCAATCCAGGAAAACCCATTTAGTCATTCAACAAAGATTCAATGAGCTGCTACAGAGGAGTCAGGCACTGCTCTTATGAAACTGTTCAGGGGAAACAGTAAAGCAAATAAACACATCAATCACATTGGCAGGTGACAAGTGCTAGGAAGAAAGTCAAGCATAAAACAGTGGTGGGAGGGTGACTGAGGATGGGCAGAAAGACCCTCCAGTACTTGAGTTAAAAGAGAAAGACACCCGTGCCAAGCTGTGTAGCCAGAGTGACCATCCAGTGAAAAGACAGGCAGGAATGGATTAAGTTCAAGAAAAGAATGTAGGCCAGGAAGGCAGGACATTCATGGCTGAGGGAAGGGCTGTGTCAGGGAGGGTTCTCATCCTCATGATTGCTCCCCACCCACTTAGACCAGGTCTCCATGGAGATCTGAGTGCTCCTGGTAGAAGCCGAGTTAACAGTTTTTAACACTATATTAGTTTGCAAGGGCTGCCATAAAAAAATACCACAGATGAGGTGGCTTAAACAATAGAAGTTTATTTTCTCACAGTTCTGGAGACTAGAAGAAGTTCAACATTGAAGTGTCAGCAGGGTTGGTTTCTTCTGAGGCCTCTCTCCTTGGTTTGCAGATGGCTCCCTTCTCCCTGTGTCATCACACGGCCATTCCTCTGTCTATGTTTTCTGTATCCTCATTTCCTCTTCTTATAAGAAAACCAGCCATATTGGACTAGGGAATACCAACATGGTGTCATTTTGCCTTAATTACCCCATTAAAAGCCTTATGTCCAAATAGTGTCACATGCTAAAGTATTGAGGGTTAGGACTTCAACATGGATTTTAAGGAGGCACAATTCAGCCCATAACATATCCCTTAAGTTAAATGTGCAGGCTGAGAGCAGGAGGATTGTTTACTATTATAATATGATACATTTAGCCAAGGGCTGAGTCATAAGGACATGATAGGCTATGAGAAAATATACATTTTAAGAGAAATGGGAAACTCTTGGGTTTTTGTCATGGTGTGCTTCTTTAAAGATCAGTTTGGTTGCTGTGTGGAGAATGAATTCTCTGAATAATCAAGAAATGTAGGTGATTTGAATTAGGGTGTTAGAGAAGATGGCAAGAATTGCTCAGATGCAGGATCTATTTTGAGGTAGAGTCAGCAGAATTAGCTGATGAAGTAGATGTAGAGATTAGTAGGAATAAAGGAATTAAGAAGGATAAAAGTGGTTTTAGCTACTGAGTGTAGTCAGTGGATTCCAGCATTTACTCTTTCTAGCTATGATCTCCAGCAAGTAACTAAATCACTATGAGTCTCTGTTTTCTCACATGTAAGATGGAGCTAATAATATTTTCTTCCCAAGTTAGTTGTAAGGATCAACTGAAATAATGCCTGTAAAATGCCTTGCAGAGTGTTTGGCAAAATAAGTTGTCAGTGGACATATTAAGTGCCAGTCATATCTAGTTAAAGCTATGTTCATGAAGCAGCTAGGTAGTATCTGATTATATATTCAAATGAGAGGTGCCCACCTCATGTTAGAAAGAAGGGAAAGCAACGTGGACCAGGAGGAGAAACTCCCTCAGTGGGATGAATGTTGGAGTGATTGTGGAATACCATAATAGGACTTCATTTCATTGAAGAACAAGAAGCCCTGAAGTTTCAACTGACTTATCCAAGTAAGAAAGTAGTTTGTCCTAAATTTAAAAATCCCAACTCTGCTACCCCCAGCAGAGCATGGACTTGTGAAGTAACCACTCTCAGCTACAGTTTCTTCTAAGTAAAATAGATCTGTAACCTGGAGCTGTATCTTCAATTTATTTTTAAAATCTTAGAAAAATTCAATCTTACTTCATAAGGTTAAAAAATGTAGGTTAATGATCCTAAGTGGAATCACACTTTTAAAATATATATTTATTTCTTAGAACATTATTAATTATTCATTTACATTTTTAAAAAATATTAAACATGATCTAGAGAAAGATTGCCATATTAATACCCCCCTAATATCATATCATTGTATCTGATGGACTTTGTATTTTTAGCTGTTGTATAATTATCTACTCACCTGGAAACCACTGTTGGGAAATGGTGTAATATTGATCACAAATATCTAAAAAAATGAAATCATTGAATGAGGATCCAGAATTACTAAAGATGAAAAATTTACCTACTGCACATATCAGTCAGCCAGCTCTTTTGTTACTTTGTCCTTTTGAAAAATAATGTAATTCTAGCTTCTCCAATGCTGTCAAAGATGGGGATCTGTGAGTGCTGGTCTACTGCCTCCGAGGACTAATCCTGACCAGGTCCCCCGGTCCTTGCTGGCCCATGGTCTGGTGATAATATCAACCTCTAGAGGGAGAACTGCAGATTTATAAATTCCAAGTCCACAGAGAAACTGCCCCTCCACTCAGTTCCCCCTGGTTCCAGGCCAAGTGTGAGCTGAAACTTCTGGGCACCAGGGTGAGGCAGAAACAAGCACTATGAGCAAGACTGGAGGTCAAGTATTGTTTTCCTTTGACTACGTGCTTGCTGCTCCCCTGGAAACTGCTGCAGGGAGTGTTCTCTCCCTCACCTAATCATTGCCCTCCACCTCCTTAGCCCATATCCCCATGGAGACCTGAATGCTCTTGGCTGAAGCTGGGAAAGCATTTTTCACACCTTAAATAAAATGTGCAGATTGAGGGTAGAAAGATTATTTTCCATTACAATATGAAACATCCTGGCCCTTTTCCCAGAGCTTATAATAACCCCTGGAAAAGCTTTTTCCCCTGAAGTATAGTCCTAGAAACCAGCTAGAAATAAACTGGGAAGCCTGGACCACAGATTTGCTAGTGAGGGAGAGCCCATGCTGTTGGAAAGGTTGGAGCACTGGCCTTGCTACTTGCCTGGATCAAGATGATAAATAGCTAAGTCCCTCCATACCTTTGTCCCCACTCTCAGAGTCATACAGAAGTAAATATGTTAACTGAGGTTTAACTGTAGGATACTGGAAATCTCAAAGATAGCTAAACACAATGAAAAGTCTTTATCCATTGATCCCATCCCTTTAATTATCTTTGATACTAGTTGAAATTAACTGGTATCCCCTACTGAATAACTGCTGTAGAAAACAACTCAAATCCCAGTAGATTAATGCTATAAATGTTTATTTCTTGCTCATACTATAGTGAGATGATTATATGATGGGCATGCTTCCACAAAGAGGTTTAGGAACCCAGGGTCCTTCCATTTCCAGGGCCATGAAGTCTTCTACCACATCCTCTACATTTGGTGTGAAAGACCTTGTATGAGAGTTGAGGAGCCAGGCACAAATATAGTGCATTTTACTATACCACAATAATATTGTCTGGAACTCAATCACATGGCACCACCCAACTTAAGAAAGTCCACAAAATGTACTATACTGAATGCCAAAGGATAGGAAACTCACAGAGGTTGATGAGCACATTCTCTGCTGTATCTCACAAAGAATAAAAGGTCAGTTTGAGTCATTAGTCATGGCCTATCAGTGGGAATGAAGAATTTAAGAGAAAGTTGAGATAAAAAGAAAGGAGACTTCGGGGGCTGGAGAGAGAAGAAGGAAGTACTGGTAGAAAACTTTCTCACATCATCTTTCCTGTCCACTGTCACAAACTTTTATACAAAAGCTTATAGAATTTATTTCTGTGCATTGTAACTATGTAATGTTTACCTATTTATCTCTTCTGCCCCTAACTTGAGGGTAAAGGAAATCTGCTACTGATTTTTGAATCTCCAGGACCTGCGTTATAATAGATGTTGTGTTATTTTTCTATGCTGAGTTAACAAGTTACCATATACGTAGCATCTTAGAACAATGCCCATTCACTCTCTCACAATTGCTGTGCGTCAAGTCAAGACACAGCTTAACTGGGTTCTCTGCTACAGGCTTAATTTAATATGTAGGTCAGGCTGTGTTGCCATGTGAAGGCTCAACTGGAGAAGAATCTGCTTTTCAGCTCACTCAGGTTGTTAGCAGCATTCATCTTGTATGGTTGTGGGAGTATGGTCTTGGCCTCTTGCTGGCTGTCACCCAGGGACCACTCTCAGCCCTAAGAAGCCACCTGCAGTTTCTTGTCATGTGGTCTTCTTCACAGACCCTCTGCAACATGACGGTTTACATCTTTAAAGTCAGTAAGGGAGAAAGTTTCTAGAGCCAGTCTTCTAGCAAGACAGTCATACAATGTGACATAATCACATCACATGATTGAGTGATATCCCATCACTTTGACCATATTCTACTGTTTACAAGCAAGTCACAGATCCCACCCATACTCAGTGAAGGGAACTATGCAAGGAGTGAATATCAGAGGGCAGGAATCATAAAGTTTGTCTTCTACACAAGATGTTTTAATTTAATGAATAGATGAACAGATGAGGAAAGGACCACATACAGGGGGCTGGAAATGAAGCAAGATAATACTTTGCAAAGATAATACTTTGCAAGATTTCCAAACCTGGAATCTTATTATTGATTATCACCTATAACATGACAATAATTATACTCACTTCACAAGACTATCAGGAGATTTAAATAAAAAATGCAGATAACATATCGAATAAAATGCTAGCAAAAGGAGGTGTGCAACAAGTCTTCCTTTTCTCTGATTTTCTGATGACCTTGAGAGGTCTTTTCTTCATGCTGGGGCTCAGCTGGCTCATCTGTAAATGAGTGTGTTAGCTCCAGAAGATATCCTGTTGCTCACTACCAACTTGAAATCTCACATCACTGGACAGCAATGACTTAACCCAACAGTTACTTGTACACAGTCTCCTCATGAAAAAAAAAGAACTTGAAAAAATAAACTGAAGACAAAAGATAAGGGTCTTCCCTTCTGCCACATAATCATGGACTTAAGGGCAAAAAAATGTAATTCTCCTTGGTCAGCCAGTTGGAGACATTTTGAAAGTTGGATGTGAAAGATTAGCCATATAAAACTTTGTATGGAACACTTAGAGATTAGATCATCTGGCTCATTTTATATATTGCTGTCTTCCTAACTGGTTGGAATCTTCAGGGAGAGAAGTTTGGCTTTCTTTTTCCTTTGAGTAGCTGTTTACAAAACATAACTTTGATTTAAACAACAACTCTAGCTCCATTACAACTGAGAGAGAGGAATTTCTAACATTTTAAAATCTAGAAATGGAAACTTACATTTCTGGTTAATTGGCTTAAAATGGGAGTCAGTTACTCTATGTCATCAAGGAGCAGATAGGGGAGAAAAACAAAGGAGGATCAAGTCACCACTTGGATTGATAACCATGCTGGCTGAGGATGCTGTTAACTTCCTGGGCTCCATCTATGATTTTTCTCTTTATGCAACTCTTTTCTGGGTTTCTATTTGTCACATTCAGAAATCCCTGCTTTCTCTCCAACTCTCTTCCTTGCCATGTATGTCTGGCACACCCAGAAGAATTAGGGGGTAATAGTAACAGAATTATTATTCAGGCTGAGACTGTTTCCTTTTTCTTCTTCTCAAAATGAGGTGTCCGAGTGTTTGAAAAATTTGGCCAACTGTTTGGATAGACACTCTTGCAGTTTATTGTCCCTCATGAGGCCACCGTGAACATTTCTGGGGCATTCTGAGGTACTCTGACTGCAATCAGAATGTCTTACGTCTATCAGCTTGAAAATAGATCTGTAGATGTAACTTGAACTTAGAATTCAAGACAAAGTTACACCCGTATTTTCTTTGTCTTGATTTCTTAAAGCCTGCATATGTAATCACGGATACTGCAGGAGTAGGAGACATGCCTGTGCTTGAGTGCCTCCTGAGATGTTTCACCCCAGGTGCCTCACCCATTTTGCCCCCGTTCTCTTCCTGCTAAATAGGGCAGGAAGCTCCTCACTGAGATCTAAAATGAGCTGGGCATGAAGATTGTATATTAGCTTCCTAGGGCCGCCATAACAAATTCCTACAAATTTGGGGGCTTCAACAACAGAAATTCATCGTCCAATTGTTCTGAAGGCTAGAAGTTCAAAATCAAGGTGTTGGCAGGGCCATGCTTCCTCAAAAGACTCTAGGACAGAATTTTTCCTTGTCCATTTCAGCATCTGGTGGTCCCAGGTGTTCTTTGGTTTGTGGCAATGTAAGTCCAACATCTGCCTCAGACTTCAAATGACCTTCTCTCTCTGTGTCTTCTCCTCTTCTCATAAGGACAACATTGTATTAGATTGGTACAAAATAATTGCGGTTTTTTGCCATTGCTTTCAATGGAAAAGACCACAATTACTTTTGCACCAACACAATATTTAGGGCCCACCCAGGTAATCCAGGATGATCTCATCTCAAGATCTTTAATTTAATTACATCTGCAAGGCCCTTTTTACAAAGCAGATCACACAGACTTCAGGTGAACACAGCTTTTGGGGACTCACCATTCACCTCAAGACAGATTGGAATCAAGAGATTGAAATCCAGAACTTCAGACCATGAGATGATGATTTGTGAAGGATTATTTATTCAACATGTCTTTGCTGAGTGCTAGCTCTGTCCCCAATACTATGGTCTTGTTACAGTAGGTAACTAGACAGACATGAGCAGAGCAGGAGAGGGCTCCCCTCGTCCCCACCACCACACGCACCAGGAATATCAGGTGACCATCAGGTGATGGTCAGGCGGTTGTTAACTGCCTCTCTAAAATAATAATTGGTTGCAGTTGGTGCCAGGGAAAGGCAATGTCTTAATAGATAGGAAAAACCTGAAACTGGCAACCAGTAGCTTCCCAGTAAGATCTCAGGAGCTGGGTGAGTGGGCTCACACATGTTTGCTAAGAGGCAAAATGACAGAGTTTAACTGGTATATCACCTCCTAGAAACATTTGACTTGTCAGGAAAGAATGCCTCTATGGAGCGTGTGTACAACTCCAATAAACACACCAACTGAGCTTGCTCCCCTCCCAAGTGCTAGTAGGCCACTGTGCATGCAGACAGCCCACCCCAACAAAAGACCCCGGAAGTGTGCCAACGTATAAAACCCCAAGTCAAAGGTCAAATAGAGCACTTGATCTCTCAAGTTGCCCGCTTGGCCCTCTTCCAAGCATACTTTACTTCCTTTCCTTCCTGATCTAAAGCTTTTTAATAAACTTCCATTCCTGCTCTGAAACTTGCCTCAGACTCTCTTTTTGCCTTATCCCCCTCTGTCCGATTCTTTCTTCTGAGGAGGCAAGAACTCAGATTCCTGCAGGCCCCTATGGATCCACTGCCACTAACAGCCTCCAAGTGAGACAAGGTTGAAGATGGCAGTAATGAAACTGACATGATTTTGTCTCACATCTCCTTAAAACAATACCAAAACAAAAATATTTTAGCTACACTCTCTCAAGGGACTTAAAATCTATTGGGAGAGAAAGACAAAGACAAGTCAACAGAACGTTTGATTCAGGGTGGTGAGTGCTAACGAAGGCACACAGCATTGGTTTTAAGAATAGGGTGGCTGATGGCGTTTAACTCAGTGCAGTGTTCAAGGAGCTCCAGCCCAATCGGTGCCTTGGCATGATGTGTATTTAAAAAAATATTTAAGAACAAAAAGAAGAGGCTTCAATTTTTAAAAATATGTTCAGTAAAAGTACATTTGATGTGGCCAAATAAATCACTAATGACTGAAGTTGGTGAAGTAATGAAGCAACGAATTTTAGTCACTCTAAAATCAATCTCAGCAACACATCGCTAAGTATTCAAATTCTACCCATCCTGACAGGTCAAACTCAGGTTTACCTTCTAGAAACTCTTCCAGACGACCAGAACCAGTAAGAATCACACAATTCTGATTTCATAAGACTCCCAAAACTATGTTGGCGTTTCTAAGCCAGCTCCTGCCTGGGCCTCTTGTCTCAGTATAAGGCACCACTATTCAATTCCACAGCAAGTTCTGTAGGCCCGACTGCCAAACATATCTGGATTCTCTCCACATCACTAGTAGCACCTTGTCCAAAACAACATGATTTATTGCTTGAAGAATTGTGTTATCTCTTAACTAGTCCCCCTCCTTCTATCCCATTCCTTCCACCATCTATTTTCGGCAGAGCAGTAATTATGATCTCTTGCAAACATGAACAATGTTAATCATTTGCCTAAAACTCTCCAATGTCTTCCCATTGCACTTGAAATGAAATTGAGGCACCTTACCTTGACCTAAAAGGCTTTATATGACCATGTCCCTATAGACCTCTCTGAAAATTTCTTCCATCCTTCTCCTCCTTGCAATATAAGCCCCAACCACAATGGCTTTCTTTGTGTTTTCTGAACAAATAAGGTTATTGTTAGCCTTAGGGCTCTTGCATATGGTTTTCCTGCCTGTAAACACTCTCGTTTATCTTAACAGGTCTATCTTTGCAGTCTTAGCTCAAGCATCACTTTCTCAGTGAGAATTCCTCCAATCCTTTAGTCTAAATTACTCCATCCTCACTCATCCTCTATCATTCAAGCACAACCATGCCACTCTTCTCCATTTTCTTTATTGCTCTTAACAACTAAAATCATCTTCATTTATTGTTACTTGTTTATTATGTATCTCTTCCCCACACAGACACTAGAATATAAATGTCATGAGAACTGGGACCTTGTCCGTGTTTTCACCATTGTGTCCCAGTGTCTAGATCAATACGAAGCACACAATAGATGCTTAACAAATATTTATTCAATGACTGAATAACAAATGCAGTGTTGTCTCTCTCTCTCTCTCTTTGGAAACAGCATCTCACTCTCTGTCACCCAGTCTAGAGTGTAGTGGTGTGATCGTAGGTCACTACAGCTTTTTTGAACTCCTGGATTCAAGTGATCCTCCAGCCTCAGCCTCTTGAGTAGCTAGGACTACAGGCACATGCCATCATGCCTGGCTAATTTTCATATATATATATATATATATATATATATATGTATGTATAGGTATATGTGTATGTATGTATTTGTAGAGACAGGGTCTCAATTTCTTGCCCAACTTGGCCTCAAACTCCAGCTTCAAGCGGTCTTCCTGCCTTGGTCTCCTAAAGTGCTGGGATTACAGGTGTGAGCCACCATGCCCAGATGCAGTGTTGTCTCTTGTTCTCAATTGCTTAAATATATTAATTGTGGTCTTTTAACTCCATAAGCTCCATGAAAGAAGACATCATTTTATTGTTCTCCACACATGTAGTTGCCTTCAGCAAATACACATTTAGCTGTTTTGGAAAGGAGAATAAGGAATGGTGTTCTAGGATTTCTGCTGAATACCTTTTGGGTCCCTCTTGTGTTTTAGAGTCTCTGTCCTTGGTCAGCTTTCCTTCGTTGTTTATTTGAAGAGATTAAGGCCATTTCTTGTGAGTGGTTTCTATTTCTCCTTTGGTAAACTCATACTGGGCCATCTAAGAAATCTAGTATGAGCAGGTCTCCCCCTTCTTTTGGCTCTCTGGTCCTGTGACTCTATTTCCACTTCTAAGTGTCTTACATACCACAGGAAACTCTATCTCACAACAGCTTCCAGGCTCTTATCTGTAGAAATAAGAAACAAACAAGTAAAAAAAAAAAGTAGCAGCAATGACTAGCATCTGCAAGAGTATACTGTGCTTTACCAAAACTTCAACTTTGAACTTCTAGAAATACTTACCAACTTGCCTTAATAGCCATCATCATTGCATTTATGGCACTTTGGTCCTGTCTCCCTATGGCCAAAGGAAGTTCTCTCTGTATCTCTTTTACTGTCAGTGTATCCCTGAAACCAGCAAGATTTGTGAATGATGTGCCTCAGGAGATTGCATTAGGGTAGCCTGGGTCAGACAGACTCTGCTCTCTGTGTGAAGTAATCCTATCTGTGTGTGCTCTGGTTTTAAAGTTGACCCTCATTAATCATGGCCTTGGTTCCCTTAGACATTCCAGAGCTGATCTATTCTCATTTTCCCGTGAGCAACAATCTATATAGACCCCCAAATACGTTATTTATTCCTGAAATGGCTTGGTCTGGCATCACCCAGCCCTTCTATAACCTCCTGTGTATGAAAGAGAAATGAATGACTTGGGCAACATCAAAGTGTTGTTTTACTTTCCATATAGTCATTAACTTTAAATGTTCCCAAACTAATAGTCCAAGACATTGTAAAGAGGTAATAAGTTCAAAGGAATATGAAACATAAAGCAGAACTCCAGAGTCATTTGAAAGTATTTTCTCTAAATGTGTGCAAGCTTTCAAGGCTGCTCGGCAAAGGAGCCTGGGTCGGCATGTTGGCTAGTGCTGAAAAGAATTTCCCCCAAGTGGAGTGTGTAAATGAGTTGCCAGGCCAACCTCCTTGAGAGCGGAGCCACGTCCTTAGAGGATCTGCTGTTCCAGAGAATGCGGCACTGAGCTGGCTCATTCCTCCTTCTATTAAAGGCTAATTTGTCTCTTTCTTTAAATCTCTTTCCTTGTTTGGATCTGGATGCCCTGGGTCACTTAGGGAGGGTTTGTCCATTGCTCTCCAAAATAGGGTGTCTCTGTATAAGAGAAAATTACAAAGGGATTAAGTTATATAAACTGAAGATCCAAGTTCCTGCTATAAAATCTCTAGTCATTGAATCAATTCGGGTGTAGAATAAAGGTTAGAGCCCTATATATTGTTCTGTGACATCAGAGTTAAAAAATAGTTTGTTTGAGCAGACAAATCTCATCCTTTGAAAAACCCACCAGAGAATGGAGTTTTTCCTTGAGCAGACTTGTTTAGGAAGCTGTCGTGGACACAAAGTGTTTCTGCTGTTGCTCGAACCTTCAGATTCTCATAATTTTTCATGGCACTGGGCAACTGTGGATTTTCATTCTAGCCACTCATTTGAGGCAGGGATTTAGTACCTAAAAAGAGCGTAGCTGACTTTCATTTCGAGAAGAAAAACAATGAAATGCAAGACAATTTTGATTGTTATGTCTTCTCTTTACATATTTTCATCTCCTCTTTCTTTGCATGCAGACTTATTTTTACGTACTCATAATCAGAGGAAGCCAACTGCATTTTGTTCTACTTATTTTCACTTAACATTATGCCATGGGCATATATCATCCTGCTATGTCATTTCCATAAGAGTTATTTTAATTAGTACTTCAGTTTCCATTGGATCTACTTAACCATTTACCTATTACTGGATATTTAGATTGTTTCCAAATTTTTCATTATTAATGATAACTCAGCAATAAGTATTTTTGAGCATGGATATTTGCCTTCTTTCAAGGTAATTATGTCAGAATGGAATCCCCTTATAATGGAATTATCAGGTGCAAACACATAACTATTTTTCTGGCTCTTTATACAAGCGTGTATGTTGCTTTGCAGAAGGCTTTGTTCAGTTACAGGGTTTACTTGCTATTGTTCAGGTACCATTTCACCACACCCACACCCACATTGGATGTAGTGAAGAAGGAAATATTAGGTATCCCAGAGACTTTGAGCTGTGGTAGGCACTGACCAAAACCAAAAATCATGACAAGCGGAATTCAGTTAAATTGAATATTATATACAGATACCACTTAATAGACATCTTGCTTTTATTGGGTTTTTATTATCATTTTCTTTCTTAAAACTAGTATGATTATAAAAGAAATATATGATTTATTATAATACATTTTAAAATTTGAGAAAGAATAAAACTAAAATAATTTATACTGCTGCCACCTGAATAAGACACCACTGATCTTGTGTAGTAATTCTGATTATCGTTCTATGCACGCATTTTAAAAAACAAAAATAGAATCAGACAGAATACATTGGATTTTAATCTGTTTTTCATTTAATAGCATAATATGAACAATAGACATGTAATGGACACTTTTGCCATAATAACAGTTTTAATGACTATTTAAATTTATTATATGAATATATTAAATCTCCTATGGTTAGCCGTGCAACTTATTTCAACGTTTTCTCTATAATAATTAATGTTGCAGTGATAATTACCATTCCAGTAGATATTTCTTAGTATAAAACTATGATAATATCCTAAAGTAAAGTTTTAAAATAGAATTTCAGGATTATAATGTAAGGACAGTTCTCAGCTTGTGCTGAATGTTTGCAGATTGCCCTCCAGCAATGCTGCCTTGCAGAAGTTGATGAGGTTGCCTATTTCCTGGGCCCTTACCAACATGGCATCACCATCAGTGTGAAAAGAATCTTTACAAGTTTGATGGACAAACATAATATTGCTTGACTTTACCATGCATTTTTGATCATCTGTGAATTTAGCCATCTGTTTCCTTATATTTATTTTTATTATGTACATTTTTTGTGTGTACTTATGTCCTTTAATCTGTTTTATCTATGGCTAACTTTGCTTCTATTTAAACCTCTAAATAGCCACAGAGAAGAGCTGTCTTGTTGTGAGCACTGAGTGACCTGCATAATGTAGGTATGGGGACATCCCATACCTGCTAGCCATTTTCGAACTGAGACTCTGGCCCTGAATCCCCTAAACTGCTTTGTGTTTCTCTCTGGCTTAACTGCATTGAATTAATGCTAGGTTTGAACATTAGAATGCAGACAATTCTGAATTTATTCTGGCGAGTAGCACAGATTACCCATGTAGAGTGTCAGTAGATGAGACCTGAACATAAACTTGTGCTAGATTATAAAAGGCCTTGAATGCTGAAGATTTTAGACTCTTCTGTCAACAATAGGGAGCCATTGAGGAATTCTGAGTGGGAGAAAAATATGAAGAAAATATGTGTTTTGGACAGTATCCAGAAGGTGGCGCCATTGTAACATATCTTCTGCCTAGAGTTTCAAGGATTTGAAGTTTGTAGGTAAAGCCCATGTGTGAAAACATATCTATTTACAAGTATTCACTGTGGACTGGACTGGGATGGTTCCTCCTCAAAGCCAAAAGAACTCTAACACAGCAGCTCTGTCCTTTGTTATATTATTCACTTCTCCCCATAGCCTGTTTTTTATTTATGTATATCTCTTGTGCCTCCTTGAAGACCTGGCATTTAGAGGGGAAGTTTGCACAAATGCTCACACCAGGGCTGAAATCTATAGATCCTGGAATAAGAACAAGTTTTCTGAGTTCCAGTTTAGTGCTTTCATATATGTTAGGCTATTTCTACTTATATTAAAAACTGTTTCTAGCAAATTATTTTGGGCCTATTTAATGAAGACTAGAGTAGTAACTTTCAACTCTGCAAAGTTGTGAAACTATCAGTGCAGGAGGAGAACTGGGTAGTGCACAACACACTAAAGTATGGTTGACTTCTTCCTTATTACCATAAGTAATAGTGATAAGTTCAAATGATTAATCATTTTCTTAACAATTAACGTCTTCTCACCAATTAAATGATGACAGAATATTAACTATTGGGTATCTTAGGATACATGAGCAAATTCAAGAATCCCTGCATTATTCTAAAAGGTACTTAAAATTTTTATTATGTTTTGTAGTTTGACTTAATTTGTTTGAAACTTCTCCATGGACATAAAAATGAAGATTCAGGACAAAATATGAGTTCAAAATGTTTTTCACGGAAACCCTCGATAGATCCACTCTGAAAGACAGAGAGGCACATGTTTGTAGTTGGGAATCTGGCAGGAAGGAGCTTGAGTTTTGATGGTCAAGATGTTTTGGTTCAGAAGTTAGAAAATAAATAATTCCTGAGAGGAAGGATTCTTCAGCTCTGGGCAGCTGATACGGCAGTAAAATAAATAGGCAGTAAAGCACACTTCCTGTTTTGAGAGTTCACATTTCATATTGGCAAAGAGCATCTCTTAAATTCAATCTCATGCTTCCATAAATAAACCTGGCACCTTTTTAAACGCTTTTCCATCTGCTTCAGAATGAGGAGTGCATTATTGAATACACCTCAGGGAGTCCAAGAAATGGGAAAAGACTACTTGTGAGGAACACACCATTGCGGTTGGCCTTGGCCCAGAGAAGCCATCGTGAGATTGCTTGAGTTCAAACCGTTGTAACAAGACCCTGATGGTGTTTCCCCACCCCCCTTTTCTTCTACTTGAAGTTGTCATAGTTGGAGCTTTGCACCAGAAGCTAGGAATGATCTTGGGTTGAGTCAGAGTTAGGCATCTTTGCAGATTCTTTGCTGTATTACCTGGGTAGTTCTCAACCAGCTTCTGAGATTTTGCTCCAGTATATTAATCCAGTTTCCTAGGCTGGGTAGAAAAGTCCATTATCCACACATAGTAGAGCCCAGAGGAAGAGGTCTGCTATACTGACTATAGAATAATTCCTGGAGTTTTCAGGGCTTGCAGTAATCAACTTGTACTCATCTAGTTGATAGTGAAAAGCATGAATTTGGTGTCATGAAGAAACAATTCAAGATGGAGTGTTCCTATTAACTGTGTGATCTTAGACAGGTAAGCAGATAATAGAATCCTAAGAGGTTTGTGAAGAGAAAGTGGAATAAAGCTCATAAAGTCAATGAGCGCACTGTCTGGCAACAAATAAGCAATTGTGAATAGTCGCTATTTTTATTATTCTACTTTCCCAGGTAATCCTTGTGAGCCAAGAACTGGGGACAATCCTGCCTGGGTCAGGTGGCCAAGAGGGGGAGTTATTTAATATCTACATTTACCATTTGAGGCAATTCTTATATATCTGATACTTTTCTAAGTTTTTAAAAATGTTATCTAATTTAACCTTTGCAGTAAATTTCTGAGCAGGTTTCTATATGTCCATCTAAACAAAATATCATAAATACCAATAATGTTGCCAAACCTAAATTGCCATTGGTTGTGTTAATAGAAAACATTTAGCAAATGAAATTCATTTATGTTCCTTTGAGACAGGGTTTTACTCTATCGCCCAGGATGGAATTTGGTGCCATGATGATGGCTTACTGCAGCTTCCACCCCCCGGGCTCAAGCAATCCTCCCCACGTGTCACTACACCTGGCTAATTCTTATATTTTTTGTAGAGATGGGGCCTCCCTGTGTTGCCCAGGCTGCTCTCAAACTCCTGGCCTCAAGTAATCCTCTCGCCTCAGCCTCCCAAAGTGTTAGGATTACAGGTGTGAACCACTGCACTCAGCTAGCAAATTAAATTTAGCAGTCTTTTATTTGAGCAAAGAATGATTTATGAATCGTGCAGCACTCAGAACCAGAAGAGGTTGAGGGACCTCTGCCCAGCAATGTGAACAGGAGCTTTTGTAGGGTACACAGAGAAGCCAAGTAGAGAAATCACTTGATTGGTTACTACTAGGTATCTGCCTTATTTGGGCATGGTGTGATGAGTTGGCTGCCTGTGATTGGCTGAAACTGAGCTGTTTGTTTTACTCCTAAATAACATTGCAGTTTGTTATATAGGGACCAAGTTATGGAGGCAGCCTCAGGCTAAACTTAAATGGATTTGACAGTTGTAAGGCATGTGCTATGGACTGAATGTTTGTTTTCCCCAAAAATTCGTATGTTGAAATTCCAATCCCAATCTGGTGGAAGGTGGGAATCTCCAGCAGGTAATTAGGTCAAAAGGGTGTAGCCCTGATGAATGGGATTAGTGCCCTTATAAGAAGAGGCTGGAGAGCTAGCTAGTGCTCTTTCTATCATGTAAGGATACAAGCAGAAGTCAGCTGTGTGCAATCTGGAGTAGAGCCCTCACAAGAACCCAACCATGTGGACACCCTGATCTCAGATTCCAGCCCTCAGAACTGTGAAAAGTAAATTCCTACTGTTTATAAGCCTTTCAGTTTATGACATTTTGTTATAGTAACTTGAGTTGACTAAGATGGTACTGCCACCTAAGGAAATAAAAAAAAAAAAGCCTGCCAATTATAACTGTAAGATGCTACTACTGTTAATAAGGCATATCAGAATTTCAGAGATTTTAAAATATAGGGAAAAGAATGTGGCTTTAAAGTAAATGAAATAGAGTAAGGAGTTTCCTTGACCTCATATGGAGTTAGTGGCAGAACCAGAATTTTAATTCAGGGAACTCTGTTTCAAAGTCAATGCACATTAGTTATATCAGCCTCTGTCAAACACCAAGTTCCAGTCTCTGGAGCAGCTCTGACCTCCTCTGAAAGTCCTGCTGTGCTAACTGAGGCAGCCCTTATAGTCTTCTAATTTGTATCACAGCCCACCCCACTCCCATCACCTCCAGCTCTGAGCTCCTAGAATATGGAAAGCCAGACAGATGCAAGCCTAGCTCACCAGCACTGGTGCCCAGCACTATTTCTTGCACCTAGTCTCTGGTCATTTCAGAGAAGAGTAGAAGGCAGAGGCTGCTGAGTGTTAGAGCTGACTGGAGTCCTCGAGAAATGGTGAGTATTCAACAAATGCCATCATGATAACATTGGTGGTATCATCAGGTCACATGCCTGCAATTAGATTGGATTTTGATTTAAGTTGGTTTTCAGCACGGTAAGATCCCCTTTCCTCTCACAGACATAGGCCTGCCTTTCTCTTTTTTCCTTGAGTATCTGGAGTTTTCAGTATTCTCGAGTTCAACTTGACTCTCAGTCATCTGTCTCAGATAGTGGTTTTCTTTCTTGACTTTTGTTCTTCTCTGAAACAAGTTGCTCAACTCTCTCTTTGCTTTTGATAAAATGACACAAAGACAGTTAGAACTTGGGTTGCAAGTTCCAAAATAGCATGTCTGAAGGTAAAAAATATATAGATTTTCTTACTCCAAAATCATGTGCTCACAGTAGCAGAACAAGTTGTACAGTTGCATTTCGTCTAACATGTGCAAATTTTACTGAAGTTGAAAAGTATAAAATTATACTGCCTCTCAGAGAAAATAAAACTAGATTATATCTAACTTCCCATTTTACCATTGGCCAGCACCAGGATCTTGGTAAGCTGGTTCTCCTTGCTGAGTCTCAATTTGTAATCAAGAGAGTTGAATTGGCTATTCTTCCTAATCTTTCTTTGCCAGACATTCTGATTCTCAGACATTTTTAACCTTACTGGTGTGGATATAGTTGTTACTTATTGTACACATTTTAACCATGAGGTTTACCTAGCACTCTTGGCTCCAGGTTTCTATGAGTCCACGCAGTGACCACTCTAGAATTCATTAGCCTTTGTGGTATTTATGTTGCTATTCAGTATTTGCCTGTTATTTTACTAAGTATCGACATCATTTCCTGGGGAAGAATTACGACTCTCTTTGAGAAGCTGCAGCAATGGTTCCTTTATTTGTACCCCATGGATTCCCTTTTATTGCCCTTCAATGTGCTTATGAAATGAAGCTCCAGTTATCCTAGTATCTCTCTCAGCCCTCTGAACTTGCCTTTGCTTAATTTTCATTTTAGATTTTTTCTGAGGATAAGGAAACACCTCACTTTTTAGTTATGTTCTTTAGAAGACTTTTCTTGATGAACTTGGTTATTTCAGTATTTGAGTCATCTTGGGAATTTCACCAGCTAACCATGTTGCAAGTCCCTTTGATTTATTATGAGGCTTCATCAGGCACATTTTCCCTTGCTCCCTACCTCAGTAGATTAATCCAAACTCATCTGCAAGGCTTGTTCAAGAGGCCAAATCATTCCCACTTTTTTGCTCCTCTTCAGGGCTGTAGAGATAAAGCACTGGTAGCGTGCCAGCCACGTCTAACAGGGTCAATCGGCCTATTTTAGCCTTTCTCAAAAGTTCACCCTGCCAGATGTGAGATTTGGGAGGGGTGGAAAAAGTGAGTCTCCTGGAGAGCATTCGTCTTCTCCTAGGACCTGAGTTCGGGCAAGTCTGTGGGGGTCAGAGGCACATCTCAGGCCATTGGATGCAACGCATGTATTAGGAAAGCATCTGCCCCATTTTTGAAGCAACCTCTGCCTGCAGCCTGTAACACGCAGGAGCATTAGTCCTTTTGATCCAAGAACTGCATCAAATCATTTTGACCCTTTGAGAAGATATGTAACCTGGGCCGAGTGGAGCCAGATGACTTTTTTTTTTATTACCACAGCATAAAGTAATATTAAGTGATTTCATGAGTTGTAGCCAGAACATCTGTTATTAAACATCAGAAATCTGATTTATTCAATTTATTCAGAAACTGGCAGTCAGCCCTCTCTAAAGTAATGCCTCGCCTTTGGGGCAAGAAGGTGTTACTGACCAGTTTTCCTTTGAGCTTACAGTCCTTTCCATGTGTCACGTGACTATGCTTCTGCTCTTTGAGAGATGTTCTCCTTATAGCAGGCAAGGAAGGACTTCCCTGGACAGAGAGCTGGCTGGAATGTGCCACATACTCTGCTGTCTCCAGGGCAGTCCGTCGACCCAGAGCCACATTCCTCTGGAAAGGTAGCTGGAGTGTCATGAGTGGGGAGCAGGACATCAAGGATGAAAGGTTTATATGTAGACCTCTGAGGGCAGGTGGGTCCATATTTTAATGATCAACTCCCCACAATTGGCCTGTTTTATCCTTAAGCTACCACTTCTGCAGCTGTATGTGGCATGTGTTCTATCCCATATGCAACTTTAAGAAAAATTTTCCCTTTTCAGATCCTTTATTTATCATAGATGACAGAGCATTTCTTTCAGAAAAGTAGGCCATTGATCCTTGCGACATCAACATTTTGCAAAAATTAAAGTAATAAATGGAAACTATGACATTCTACTGGTGGGACTTCAGGCTTTGATCTCCTTCTGGGTGTGTGTTGGTGGTACTGGAATAAGCAACAGAGATAAAATCATAAAATCTTTTGGAAAATGGACGCTTCCCCAAAGAATCAAGTTAGCCACTCATTTTATTTTTTTGTTCCATCGTTTTTTAACTTACACATTTATTCACTAATTACTTTATTTTTCAAATATTTACCTGTGCCAGTCATTGTTCTAAGCATTGAGAAATGGGAGATAAAAAAATAAAGAAGCAGCAATCCGTTAACTCAAGAAGTTGACAGTTTGATAAGGAAAGTAAGACACTGGCACGAACTATAAAGTAGAAAGTTATGAATCATAAAACAGTCACAGAGAAAGGTCTGTGGAAAGTTAAAGGGGAAAAGGAATAAAATGTTCACTGGAAGTTTCCAGGAAGGGTGTAATGAAGGATGTAGAATTAGGGCTGTGTCTTAAAGGGTAGGATGTTGGAAGAAAGAAAGGAGAGGCAGTGGTGATTGTAAAAGGAAGCAGTGGCTGGAAACAAGGCATGGCTATAGAATAGCAAGGGGCATGCTTGAGTGTTGGCAAATCTTCGGCTTCCCTAAAAGGCACAGTTCATGTAGAGGAATAACGGGAGAAGGTGAAAGACATGCTGAAGCCACATCCTGAATGTTCCCAGTACAAGGCAAGACCCTCAGATTCAGGAGGCTGAAGGATTCTGAGTAGGTGAACATAACTATAATTTAGGAGGATTAGTCTGAGACCATGAGTAGGATAAACTGACAGTGGAGAATCCCGAAAAAAAAAATGCAGCTGAGCAATGATAAAACTTCAACTGGAGCAGTTGGTTTGGAGAAGAAGGGGTGCATAGAGTAGATGTACAACAGAGGAATTGATCGGGCTTCAGAAGTTATGTGTTGTTATAAGAGGAGTATGGCTTTTGGCGTCAGAGAGACTCTAAAATGAGCTTTATTTTTTTCCTCACTCTTAGAGCTACCTGGAGTAACTCACAATTTGTCCAGACCTCCCTCTCAACCCTGTTGCCAAGGTTTGTGTATGTGTGATATTGAAAGTATGGTAGGAGGGGAGGGTTGTGATAATATATGTGAAAACACTTCATAAACTCTGAAAAATCCTAGGAAGTTCATTGCAGTTAAGTTACTACCTGGATCTGTGGGACAAATGGAAGGGAAGGATCTCAGATGGACCTTAGGTTTTGAGCCAACATGACTCTGAAGGTGGAGAATCACAGTGCCTGAAAAGGAAAGGAAGGAAAAAAGGAAAAGAGAGTCAGCACTCACCCATTGCCTCAGATTAAACTCCAGATGGATCAAAGACTTAACCATAAACTTGAAACCATAGGAACACTGAAGATATTTTATAATGTAGCAGTGGAGAAATTATAAGAATTCCAAGAAAGTTAGAAACCAAAAAGGGAAATATTGATCAATTTGGCTGCATTAGAAGTTACAATTTTTATATAACAAATGATAGTAAGTTTGAAAGAAAAATGACAGAGAGGGGAATGTTTGCCAGTCATATGATTGCCATAGTTAATTTCTGAGTACATTAAGACTTTCACATGACAATTAAAAATACAAACAGTCTAATAGAAAAATAATGTGAATTAGTAATTTATAAAATAAGAAATAGAAATGATCAATATACAAAGTAAAACATATTAAAACTTAACTAAGAAATTCAAATAAAATGAGGTGTTTTTTAACCAACTGTATTTGGTAACTTAATTAAGAAGATTGAAAATGCTATTTTTATGAAGTGTTGGGAAGCGATTACTTGAATGAACTATTGAAGTGGACATGAAATACAAAATACAATAGTCTTTCTGGTGTTCAATTTTAGGATACATATCAGTATATAAAAGGAATATACCCTTTGACCTGTCAAATTCACTTTTGGGAATTTAAGAAGATAAATATACACATGTGAAAATATGAATGAATGAATATGTTTATTGCATTATTGCTTAAATTAATAAAAAATAACAATAAAATATAGAATAATTTAGGTAAGTACATTTTGTTACACCTAAAATCTTTAGCTTCTAAAACTAGTGAAGTAGACCTCAATTTATTGAAATGTAAAGCTATGAACCACATGTTTTTGAGAGACGTGTGGCATTATCCCATTTATTAGAAATATATACATATATACATACATATATACAGTGTATATATATTTCTATACAAAAGAGAGGTCTAGAGGGATGTTCACCAGAATATTATCAGTGTATTTCTCTGGAGCATAAATCTTCTGGTGCATTTAAAAATATTATTCTATTTTCTATATTATTTCAATTTTGAAATAAAATTTTAAATGTTTGTTTTTTGCAAAAGCAATCACATTTTCAAATGAAATATATAAAATAAATTAAGAGAAAGAACCAAAGAGGTTGAGAGAAAAGAAGAGAGAGAAGGAGAAAGAGAGGGAGACAAGAGGGAGGGAGATGTGTTAAGATGCACCCACAAGGCTTTAGCCTATGGAGACGACTGAGTGATGACACAGAGAGGTCATTGCTACTAAAAGAAAAGTTTGTTACTTATGGTTTTCAAGAGAAGGAAGCAGGCCACACCATATAGGGCCGCGGTTCCCACACCAGGTTTGGTCAGGAAGCAAAGGCAGGACTGTCAGGGAAAGCTTGGCTCGGTGCTTTTATTGTGTTTTCTGTGGGAATGGCGAGCAGAGCAGGGAAACAGCTTAGGACTGGCTCTTGAATAATGTCGGCAGGCTCTGGGCTATAGGATGGTTGGTTCCTGGGTCGATTTAGGGCAGGGAAAATATTGGTTTGGTATGGGAAAGCTAGATAAAGAAGGAGGTTAAGGGCCTGGCCTCTAAGGACTGGTTGGTTTGCATGGGAGAGGTGTGTTGGCAGGCCAGTTGCTTATTGTCTCTGGGGATTAGCTATCCCTGGGAGGGGCAGTCTCTCCCTGTCCAGTTAGGCCCCCCAGAATGTCAAAGCAGCATAAATATGTTTAGAAATTTGGATTAATATAGGATAGAGGAAAAAGGAGAAAGGGGGGGAATAGTTGTTGGGGTAAGGCCCCTGAGAAAGTGGAAATGAGGGGATTCTGAGGATAAGTGAGGTTGTGTCACCATGGTTTGGAGGGGCAGTACTTTCTCTAAGGTTGAAGGGAAGGTGCGAGACGGCAGAAAGACTTCTTCTCTTCTGCTATGTGGAGAGAAAAGGACCTCATCCTCAGATGGCCTCAATCTTAGCAAAGAAGGCAATCTAAAATACTTCTGGGAAATGATCAAGACAGAGTTTGGTAAAGGATTTGGAAAGAATGGAGACACTTTTAAATAGCTGTTGGGGAAAATTCAGTGAGTAATTTTCTAGGTGTGAGTAAAAAACAGCTATTAGGGTCCAGCTGAGGTTATATTCAGACACAAAGACAGGAATAAATTTGACTCAGGGTTAAGCTTGTATAGTTGCTAATGATGGACATAGTCCTTTAGAGTTTGCAGCCTTGTCCTTAAACTTCAAGTCCTTGGACAAACAAGTCTCTGCACCAAGAATTGCCAAGATGATACAACAATTGATGTTGGCTGCCATTCAGATCCCCATTGTGCTTGGCTCTTGACTTACGTGGGAAGCATCCTGGGATGCTCCTTCCTCCTCTTTTGTTAGCTAGAAGACCTATCCATCTACCCGCCAAACCCTCATCCTTACATATTCACATTAGGAGATGGTTAACAACAGCTCCCCTCCCAATCCCTGCCATGACATGAGAAAGGGGTAAAAGAAAAATTCTATCATCATTTTCCCCAATATGTGATATCCTGAAAATTTTCACAGATCTGCTTAAGTCCTTGTCTTTAATGAAATTAGGAACAACCTCTGCAACGAGCCCTCAGATGAGACTCAAACTGACAGGAAATGAATTTGCTAATGAATTCATTAATTATTCCATTATTTATTTTAATAGAGCCTTACCATGTGTACTGCACTATAGAGGATGACCTAATTAGCATTGCTTTCTTCATGCTTGGTTTAGTAACTGATGTCTCCAAATACTTGAGTGAGGGCAGATGAAGAAGAGAAACATGAAACAGCCCCCAGATGTCAACTGATTCCACATGACAAAGGCTGGCTGTGTGAGGCAATAAATGTGTTCTGCCGACATCGGGCTGAGCAGTGCCAATATGGACATCTTCAGAAAAATAATGAGCCAACGTGGCCATTTCTCTGGGCCTTGTCTTCTCTCCTTCCAACTGAGCTGCATTTTTTACTCCCGATTTGGAAGCTATTTACAGTACATCTCAACGAGCCAGCCCGTGGTGCTGGCTCCACTTTCTTTTGGAAATATTAGAATTTGTCCCCTGAGGGAGTCAGAACAATTGTTTGTTAGCTTAAAATAAATCATACATTTGATCATGATTGTGCAAGACTCTCTTCTTCTCCCTGAAGTCTCCATCTCAGGGCTAGTGGAAAGGGAGATGTCCACTGGGAGGCTAAAAGCAGCACCATTGTCTATGGGGACGTACTGTCTCTTATCTGGAGATAAAAGAGCCAAGAAAAGAAGCAAAATAACACTACAGGGATTGCCTGAAGTGTAACTGATGGCTTTTACCAAGAAATGAAATCAAAGGGGGAAATAACTAACCATCAGTGGGAGGGGCTGGGGGAGTAACACCCAAGCCAACTTTTCCCATAGCTCTCTCCAGTGGATCCTGTGAAGTAACTAAGGGCAGGCAAAGCAGGCAGGAGTTGTGCAAAACCCACAGACACCCCAAACAGAGATTTCAACAGTTCCAGCCCAGCTCAGTGACTGTTGCATTGTGTCCCTTTGTCTGGCCATCAGCCTGGACCTTTTCTCTGATCATATGAAAAACATTTCTTGTCTGAATCACACAAATGGTTCCTATTTCTTCACCAGTCACACATTCTCTCTGGACAATCTCATTCATCTTTGAAGCCCAATACCACATGCAGGAGGATGAAACCTCATTTGTACACTGTAGACTCAACCTCCTTTCTGGGCACTAATTATTTCTGTAAAGCCATGCCTGATTATCTCAAAGATACCTTAAACACAATGGATTCCAAACCAGCTCTATCATTTCACCCAAAGCCTGTATCTCCTCCTTCCTGACATCTTGGTCAATGGTCACCATATGCGCAGCCTTTCAAACTCAAAATATGTCCATGTTACTACATAATTATTGATCTAAAGCTTTGATCATAGCAGGCCTCTTTGAAAAAGGACAAAATACACATCTCAGCCTGGAATGATCAGCTTCCTGAAGTCTCAGAGCTGTGCAGATTGTCTTTATTATCTTATTTGCGCTCTCTGAGGCATTCAATGCCTTTGACAACTACCCCCTTCTTGGAACGTCTTCCTTAATTCTTGTAACCTTCTATTTCTTTATCTATTCTCTTTGCAAGTTTCTTGCTTTGGCTCTTTCTCCTCATTCTCTTTAGTAATATTATTCCCCAATAAAGATGTTATCTAATCTCCCTTGTCACTCTACATTAGCATGCCTAAGAAACATGCTGGGAGCTTCTTATTTAGTTGCTGTCCATGTTGCTGCAAAGGACATGATTTCATTTCTTTTTATGGCTGCATGTTATTCCATAATGTATATGTACCACATTTTCTTCATCCACTCCACTGTTGATGATTAACACCTAGGTTAATTCTGTGTCTTTGCTACTGTGAGTAGTGTTGTGATAAACATACACATGCATGTGTTTTTTTTTTTGGTAGAACTATTTATATTCCTTTGGATATATACTCAGTAATGGAATTGCTGGGTCAAGTGGTAGTTCTGTTTTAAGTTCTTTGAGAAATCTCCACTACTGGATTTCAAGTTATACTACAAGGCTACAGTAAGCAAAATGGCATGACACTGGTACAAAAACAGACATATAGACCAATAGAACAAGTTAGAGAACCCAGATATAAAGTTGCACACCTACAGCCATCTGATCTGTGACAAAGTCAATAATAACAAGCAAGAGAAAAGAACTCTCTATTCAATAAATGGTGTTGGGATAACTGGTTGGCCACAGACAGAAGAATGAAACTAGACCCCTACCTTTCACCATACACAAAAATCCACTCAAGATAGATTAAAGACTTAGATGTAAGACCTAAAACTCTAAAAATCCTAAAAGACCTAGGACATACCATTCCAGATATAGGCCTTGGCACAGATTTCATGAGGAAGTCTCCAAACGCAATTGCAACAAAAACAAAATAGACAAGTGGGACCAAATCAAATGAAGAGCTTCTGCAGAGCAAAAGAAACTATCAACAGAGTAAACAGACAACCTATAGGATAAGAGAAAATATTTGCAAGCTATGCACCCGACAAGAGTCTAATATCCGGAATCTATCAGGAACTTAAACAAATCAACAAGCAAAAAATCAAACAGCCCCATTAAAAAATGGGCAAAGGACATGGACAATTCTAAAAAGAAGACATATGCATGACTATCAATACGAAAAAATGCTTAACATTACTAATCATTAGAGAAATGCAAATCAAAACCACAGTGAGATACTATCTCACACAAGTCAGAATAGCTATTATTAAAATGTCCGAAAATAATAGATGCAGGCAAGGCTGTAGAGAAAAGGGAATGCTTATATATGGTTTGCGGTAATACAAATTAGTTCAGCCACTGTGGAAAGCAGTTTAGAGATTTTGCAAAGAGTTTGACAGTTTTAGGTATCTCATATAACTGGAGTCATGCAATATTTATCCTTCTGTGACTGGCTTATTTCATGTCACATAATGTCCTCTGGGTTCATATGTGTGTCCCAAGTAGTAGGATTTTCTTATTTTTTTAAGCTGGAGAATATTAAATTTTGTTTATATACCACATTTTCTTTGTTCATTCATCTTTCTATGGGTAGTTT
Source organism: Homo sapiens (assembly GCF_000001405.40). NCBI lineage: Eukaryota > Metazoa > Chordata > Mammalia > Primates > Hominidae > Homo > Homo sapiens. The sequence goes on from NC_000002.12 coordinate 18,448,313, forward strand.
GGTTGTTTTCTTATCTTGACTAGTGTGAATAATGCTGCAATGAACATGGGAGTGCAAAGGTATCTTTGAGATCCTGATTCTAACGCTTTCGGGTATATACCTACAAGTGGGATTGGAGGATAGATCCCATGTTGTATTCTCACCACAAACCAAAAACAACACAAGGAAATTTTTGGAAATGATGGATATGTTTAATACCTGGATTGTGGTTATGGCATCACAGGTGTAAAAATATGCCTAAACTCATCAAAATATATACATAAGACATGTGCAATTTTTGTATATCAATTATATCTCAATAAAGCTAAAATATTTTGAAATATCTGCAACAATTGTAATGCAATAGGGTAATATCTCCTATTGGTGAGAAGTCACAAGTTCTGCTAATACTCCCATGGTTTATTGTCTACATTTATAAGGAGAGAAAATGCTAAATTTTAGTTAAAACTATAGAAAATAAAGGTATTGTTTCTCTCCCAAGTCCAAGAACCTACTGAGTTTTATTCATGGATCCCTTGGGCAGAAGTATGGGCTCATGATAGAAACCTTTGCTCTAGCCCTTGAAATAGCATTGTGCTGAGATGAAAAGCTCTTCTTGCCCATGCTGCAGGCTGTGCATGGGATGTGGCTTTTATCTGCCAGGCATGTGTACTGAAATGCGGAAACAATTCACTCTTCCTCTTCTTCTAGCTCAAATGGCCTCTTCTACTTTTTTCCGTGATGTTTACTCTATGGCAGAAGTCCCTACCAAAGGAATAAACTGCTAGGACCCAGGCTCCAGGCCAGGCCACATACACTCCAGTCTTGCCAGTGTCAGGCTTTCTCTTTCTCACTGTCTGCTCAGTGGTGGGACTGGAGACCCCCTTCAAGTTGCTTGCTATCCCATTTCTTCCTTGAACGTCTTTTTTTTTTCTTAAATTTTATTTGAATGCTATAGAAAATAAACAGTGCTATATAAAATGAAGTGGGATTAACTTATACAGACACAAAAATGCAAACAAGTACAATTGTTTACCCTGTGTGTCCTTCCTTAGAAAAAATAGTTAACCTAAGAGTTAGTTTTAGTGCACACACACACGCACACACACTCTTAGGCAGAAAAACTTGGCATTGTCAGCAAATCAGATTTCTCACGTGAGACACTCACAAGATCATGAGCTACAAGAAGAGTAGAATTGAGTCTTACATGTCTCTGGATCCCTGGTACCAGGCTCAATGATTGACACAAAGCATGTACTCAGTAAATGTTTGTTAAAGTGAACTACAGCCTGTTAGGTTAGGAATGATTTCAAAATATCTTGGTCTGACAAATATCTAAAATAACTGGCACAATTAATTTGTAACTGAAGTAAGATTAGTTGAATATAATAGAGTCTTTCAGTAATCCTGTAGCCTTGGAAAATTAGTTAAGCCATCTGTGCCTCACTTACCCCATTGGTAAAATGGGGATGATAATGCCTGACCCTTAGAATTGTGAGGATTAAATGAGGTAGCACATGGAATGTTCAGAGAATGATACTTGTCACATAGAAGGCACTCTGCCCACTTTAGCTATTGTAATTATCACTAGAAGTAGTGGTTCTCATAGTAGGTATTTCAGAGTATTCATTTCATCACTATAAGAAGTGCCAAGGAGTATTACAATGCTCAGGACTCTTTGTTCTACAATAAATTCTATTTATTGTAGATAAATTTAATAAGTTTATTGTTCTATATAAATAGATCTGAGTGCTTCTTAAACTCTTGTGTATGAGTTTGAGTTCACCTTGTCTTCCACCTTCTTTGCCTGCCAGCCAGCTATCACTGAGTACTCTAAGGTGTTCTGTTCCTAAAGGTCCCCTTTAAATGGAAATTTCTAATTTGACCATTAACTTGGAATCAACGTAATGCAAGAGGGCCAGGCATGGTGGTTCACGCCTATAATCCCAGGACTTTGGGAGGCAAAGAGGGAGGGTCACTTGAGACCAGGAGTTCAAGATAAGCCTGGGCAGCATTTGTAGAGCCAATCTCTACAAATAAAAAATAAAAGTAAGAAAAACCATCCACATGTGGTGGTATGCATCTGTAGTACAGCTACACAGGAGGCTGAGGCAGGAGGATCACTTGGGCCCAGGATCCAGGGTTACAGTGAGCTGTGATTGTGCCACAGCAGGCCAGCCTGGGCAACAGAGTGACATCCTGTTTTTTTTGTTGTTGTTGTTGTCGTCGTTTTTGTTTTTTAAAGCATCTATTTTCTGGACATCTGGGTATGTGGAAATAATTGTTTTCTGGATCAATGATGAATATCCCTGTAATATTTGTGTTATAGCTATATGTTTGTGTGTGTACTAGCATCACTTTCTTTTTACTCTCTTTATCATGATAGCGTTTCCCATCCTCACCCTTGGTCATCAGGCAACAAACTAGCTCAAAGCACCACAAGGCCATGGTTGGAAAACAGAGAACTGAAGTGATTTCAGGGATCAGGAGCTACTTCAGTAGTCTATGATTTATGTACATGAACAATTCCAGATCTCGGGTATATTTAGAGATGAGGGACACTGGCCAGACACTATGGTAGCATTTCTTCTTATAATTTGAATTCCAACTCATATGACAAAGAATGATGTTTTTCCTTGTCAGTGCATTGCCATGCTCAATGTGACAGCTGGCTCCTGCTAGTGGGCAGAGGCAGGGCTATGGCTCAGCCCCACTGGTGGGTGTGACTACTGCTACACAGTCCCACCTGGTTCAGTGAAGGGGCAAATACCAGGATGTTTAGCTCTACAGGTGCTTGTGTCATTCTTCATGTATTTCCTGCTGTCTAACCAGTTGGTCATTTAAAGTTTATAAATCTAACTCCAAGGTGGAGACAAGTTGGATGGAAGATTGTGTGTTTAGGAAGAATATGCCTAAGGGACTTTTAAACAGAACAGAATTGAGTTGTTTGTGTCACTGTTTTATGGCTCTGGATAGTCTGTTCTAGCTGGACAAGATTTCAGGATTTATGGCGACATCCAGCTAAAGAATGGTATATTTTTAACATGCTCACATGTCACTTTCCAGCTAAGGGAGGCTTCTCATGGTTCCTGCTGCTTTGGCTGGACCAGTTTCCCTTCTGGCCTCCTGAACAGGCTGTATCTTGAGAATGTGAGCCTTCCTAGGATGAGACTTGCTCTTTTTCCTGCATATAAGCAGCATGGCCAGACAAAAAGAAGATCCCATGGAAACAGGAGCATCTGCTTTGGGGAAGTATGGCACAGTGGAAAGTTTGTGGGACTAGAAACTATAAATTCTGGCTTCAGGACTCAGCTCCATCACTGACCTAACCATGTGATGTGCCTTAAGCATATGCCTGGACCTCTTTGGGGATCAGTGTGGTAACCATGGAAGCATGCCACTCAGATCTTCCTTAAGGAGGAAATTTGTGGTAAGAATTGATAAGCTGATATCTCCAAGCTGCCGCACCCCCATGCCCACCGTGGCATGCTTGCCAAGGCCACATCCTTTCTGAGATGCTCCCAGTGACTGAGCACAGCAGAGCTAAAGAGCCAAGCCCAGCAGTCCTGCCCGACACAGGGCTTCTCTAATGAGTAGAATGTGCCCTCAGGCTCCCTGTCGTCTGGCTGGCACTCCAGCACTGCACTGGAGTCTTCAATTCTTCCTATACCACACTTCCTCCTCCTCCCTACTCTCCCTTTTCAGGTATCAGATTTGCATCCCACTCCGCAGACTCCCCCTGCCTGTTCCTGCTCCTTTTCCCTTTTTTCTTCACAGGAGTTTTCCCCAATAAATCTTATGCACACAAAGCTCCATTTTGGTATCTGCTTCTCAGAGCACCTGAACTGACACAAAGAGTGAATGTACGTTATTTTTTGCCTACCTCGTACATTTCCCCCCTTCTTATTCTTACTGGATCCCCTTAGAGATCCAACCACCTTATTGCTCTTCTCCATCTGCAAACATGAGCTAATGGTGAGACTCACATATACATCCTGCCACCTCATTCTGTTGCTATATGGGTGGGCATGGGCACCGGGTCAGACTAATTACTGTGCTCATCTTCCTGGTCAAAGTGGCTCAGGTGGGCGTGGGACTGAAACCAGTCCATCAGAGTCCTTCCGTGGGGCATGGGACACTGACATTTAAAGACACAGTTCTCTCCTTCCTGTTGAATGTGGGCTCAGGGTGTGAACTGAAAACTGCTGGAAACCAGAATTCTTACCATAGAGAAGAGACTGAGACAAGGAAGCCAATGGTCAGAGAAGAGGAGAAGCAATGGCTGGGGTCCAGAGTCCCGGCCAGGGGCTCACTGAGCTTCCCAGATTCCAGTAGTTTTTCCTTTGAGTCTAAAATCCACTCCAGAATTCTCCCACTATATCCCCTGCCTTTAATTATTTTTTTTAACTTCAGTTGGTTGAATTAGGTTTCTGTTGCTTCCACCTGAAATAATTTTCAGTAATAGAATCTGTTTCTAATAGACTGATTCCATAAATTAGTTCTGTAAACTGAGGTTGATTTTACCTTAGACATGGAATGAAATGTAGGGTGATATGAAACAATAACAAACCCAGGCATGAAACAGGCAGTCAATCAATACTTTTTTAATGAAACTGTAGAAACAAAGTGAGAGAGCCCAGGTCCAGAAATAAGGGTATAGTTTTCAAAAAGGCATAATAGTGCCTGGAACATTATAAAAATGCAGTAAATAATTTGTTGACCACAACTAAGAATATAAAAATCACTAGTTTCACTACAAGGTTGTTTCACCAGATTACCTGTGCTTCTTAATGACAGGTCAAGGTGGCTGAGAATGGCAACCCTTCTGAAACTGGGAGCCACCATGTGCTTTCAAGTCAGAATCCACCAGCTGGAGAAGAAGAGAGGGGAGAAAGGCAGCAAGGGGAGGGGTCTGGAGGCAGTCAGAGGGAGTGAGAAGAGGCAAGAGAAATAACTGTATGAGGGGTAGAGAACAGGGCATCGAGGAGCAGTCGGCCACTTGTGGCCTTTTGGATCCTTTAAATCAAAGGAGCCTTGATCCAGGGCCAGATCAAGATGCATGGGTTCTCCAGACAAACCAATAGTTTGGCTCCCCATCAGACCAATATCTTTTCCATGTTTGTTCAACACTTATTGCGGGCGTGGCCTGGGTGAGTTGGTGTCAGCAGGGAATGTTGTTGCTATTGATGACTTTCATGCCAGGCCACTGCTTGGTTTGACAAACAGTTGATTTACTCATGATCTGCATGTCAGGAGTCCCATGGGGAGGGCAGGGTAAATTGACAGTACATTGTGACTTGGTTGGTGTCAGCCTATCTTCTAGGTAGGAAATATGAGAATAATCTGTGGGTTATTCTCACCAAGGAGGAATACCAAGCAGGAATAATTGGAGAGGAGACTTGGAGGAAACTTTCCTCTGATTGCCTGCTAGGAGACAGCCCAGGGCAGCAGACAGGATGGTTTGGGGAGGGCATGGCCAGGAGGACTAGCTTCTTCATACATATTATCCAGCTGCCTGTGTTTCTATCTCTACTCATCACTTATCCTTCAGTCTCTCATGCACTTTACATTGAAATGGTCACAGTGAACTGCCTTGATTTCTAATGGAGGAGTAAACAGGTGCCATATAAAACTTAGCCCTGGACCCTATGCATTTTTTTTAAGTTTATGGAAGGATGTAATTAAAATCTTTGGGTGGTCAACTTACCATCATAAATCATAACCAGGTATGAATGACAGCAGGGCACCACAAGAAGGTGTGCATATGCAGAGAGATAAAGCAGAGTATGCAGACCTAGAAAAGCACGTGCATGAAGGGCCCTGTGTACCAGGTGCAGTCAGGGGAGGCTCCACTTCACAGGCAGTAGGGAGCATCTCCTGGTGACAGCCCAGGGTGGCAACAGTGCACTGAACACATCAAATGAGCTCTGATTAATACCATTTAGACACAGCAGTGATAGAAACATGGACCCCAGAGAGTGCTCTCCAAAGAAGCTCACATTCTAATGAAGTTAGAGGTACACAAAACAAGTAAAAAGCAGAAGGAGGGAAGGAAAAGGGTCAGATAGTTCTGACTAGGAAAATGAAGGAAACTGTCATAGAAGAGGTGGCATTGAGTGGGACAATGAATGACAGGTGAGGATTCAATACAGAGAATGGGGGGAAGGCAATTCATACTTAGATACTAGCACGTCCAGAATGAGGAGACATGAAATTAAAGCAAAGAAACTGATATCAACAGGCTGTGGCTTCGGAAATATGAGTTGTACTAGCAAACTTCTCACTTACGCTACTCTATTTTCCCATGGTCCCTGAAGGTTGTATGTCTACTTAGAACTCTTCTCCTCATTTGCCCCATGGAGCAAGAAGTTGGTGTCCTTCTCTACAACCTGGAGCAGAGATGGGCCCTTAGCTGGTGCTCAGTAAGGGCTGATGTGTGGGTGGATATTCAGAGTCTGCAGAAGAAAAAGTAGAAATGACTTCAGCCAGCCTGGGACTGCTCTAAGCAAGATGTTTTCCTAGGATGGTATCCCAGTCTCAAAAGGGATGGGCCACAATGTGGTACAAAACTCTAGGGAACAGCATCACAGCTGCCCTGCGTCTGTTATAATATTAGTCCATTGACGTTGATGCAGCGAGCCTCTACTTTTCAGTTTACTTTGGGTCTTGGACATGGAAGCAGAGCTTGAAGTCACCACACTTTCACACGGACTTTTGCCAGTTGGATGGTTACTGAGTAAAGCAAGTCCAGACCTTTGCTAATATATTTACAATGCAAGCATTGAACCCCATTCTTTTGTTCTTTTTTCCTCTAATAGGTTCTTGAAGTCGCCTTTAGAACGTTTGGGCTGTGTGAGCTGTGAGCTTGGAAGGGAACTATCTCATTTCTTTTCCCTAGAGAAATTTGCCATTCTTTGAATAAATAATCAAGGAGGTCTTTGCAGACAATTCTGTCCTCTGGTTGAAAATGGACTGTGATTCAGTCTGAAAACATCCTTACAACTTTACATCATGTTTCCCTGTCCACTGATATTGCTAACGCTGACACATAACAGGTAATAAATACATGCCCATTAAGTGATTGCTCAACTGATGGGCTGATGGAGTTGTCCCAGAGTTTGTTTTCCTTTATTTTCAAAATCACTCCTTCATTCTAAGTGCCCCAGTCACCCACCTTGCTGACAGGGCCACCTCACTGCACTCTGAGGCCCCCTGCCTGCCATCCATGTCACCTCTATTGCCAGGGAGCAAATATGTGGTATTTGTTGTCCGCTCTGATTAGAGTGGTATTTACTTTGTTCCTGCCAAAGAATTATGTTTCAGTCGGCCCAGTTTTCTCAGTTTTGGCAAATCCTGGTTGATATATCTCAATTACAACCTAATGACTCATATTGCAGCATCTCTTGATTTAAAATTAGCACAACAGATTGGATTTGTTAAATCGAAGAGAGCTGGGAAAGTAAAGCCAATCCTTCATGCTCAGTGGCAGTCTCTGTAGCCTGTGGTGCCACAAGCAAATCTGAAAGGCGGAGGGACCTAGAAGAAAAGAATATAATCTATTAGGAGTTTTGATAGCTTAGCCTGAGTTGGGTGAGTAATTACACTTTGTAAGATTCTGTGGAGTGGTCATTGTGCTTATGAAAATCATATTAAATTGTGCAGTAGTAACAAACTAATCCCAGAAGTCTCAGGAATTAATATGTTTATCTGCTTACACATCATGTCCGACACAAGTCAGAGATGGATTCTAACCAGCTCAAGGACCCGGGCAGAACGAGGCTCCCTTCTCTGGTCTTTGTGGCAGCAAAGGAGAGAGATTAAATAGTTTCACAAGGGCTTTTCACTGTTTCAGCCAAGAAATGACACTTGTTATTTCTGCTCATATTTCTTTGGTCAGAACCAGTCCCATGGCCCTGCTCAGTTGTGAGAGTATAAATGCAATTCCTTGTGCACTTGAAAGGAAAAAAAAATGGTGAATACTAGCATTGTCAACAACATCTGCCCTTTTGGTCATTGAATGATTGCCTCACTTTTTTTCCCCACACATTAAACACCTATTGTTCACAATAGAAATCACAATAGCAAATGCAAAGTCTCCTCCATTCATCACAAGTAGGTCAACATCCAGGATATTGGGGGCATGAATGGTAGCCCATGCATTAGGTTTGGGAATTTTTTCCTCTCATTCCAAAGATTCATATCCTAAAAAGGAAACATGCAAGAATGAAACAGGGGCATATACTATAATGAAATAAGATCATCATAAGAAATACACCATGCAGGTGAAGGGAAAATGAGACCACTCATCAGTAACTGAAAGGACAATTCTGAGATCTGGGAGATACTCTGGGTTCCCCTAACCCGAGGAAGGAGACTGTTCCTTTATTAGGCCCTGATTTTGCTCTCTGGAAGCAGCTTCCTAATTTATTCTTTTAGGCCCATGGATCTGCCCTCTGGCTAGTTCTTTGTTTTCCCGTTATTATCCTTCTCAGCTACTTCTGATATAAGCATGGGGTGGCATACCCTCTTTGGGAGCTGAGGGTCTTTCTCAGACTTTTCTTCCCATTATTCTTTCATTTCAATCAGCCAATTATTTCCTGAGCTCATCTCTTTATTAAAATACTTTGCTAAATGCCACAACTATCAGCACACTATTAACATCCTCATTTCTCACCCCATCTCCTAGAGTCATAACTTCATTAAATTTCTGATCTCCCTCCCACACCACTATTGGTAATTATTTTACCAAACATTTTTGCACTGCATGCCGTGAATCTCCATTTTCCTCCACCTTGAATATTATCCTCAGGAGCCTCTGCCTACCATCTGACATGTAAGCCAGTGCTACATAATTTACTATTTTTTTTTTTGGCTGATCCTCACTCTTGGTAGCAATTTTGTGCTAACAATATCAGATTAAGTTACGCTGCAATGACAAATTAACCCTATAATCTTAGTAGCTTGTTACACCAAATCCTTGTTTATCTGCTCATAATAAATACTATTAACTAACTGCTAAACATTGTGTAGACCATATAATCCAAGGCCCAATGGATTAGTGTTCCTAGATTTAAGTGAGAATGAGGAAAAACAAAGCTAACATTAACTAAGCACCTGGTATGCTCCAGAAATTGGTTAATGTTAATTTATATCAAAGAGGCTCAGTAACTTACTCAAAGCCACTGAGCGAGGATTTGAACCTAGTTCTTCCCAATTCCAAATCTCAAACCTTTTATGTTTCCTTTCATTCTTTTGAATCTCTACATTGCAGTTTTGTAGTATTTGACACAGGAGAGAAGGTGCTGTAAAGAAGTGGTTGTAGAATTTTCATGTGCATATATGTCATCCAGGGATCTTATTAAAATGCAGATTTTGATTTCTGGAGATAAGCCTGGGATTCTATATTTCTAACAAGACATCAAATGATGCTGATGCTCCTGGTCTTTAAGCCATTTTTTGAGTAGCAAGTTTCCAGAGCATTTTATTATAATCAAAGACAATCTTGTGCAAAAGTTTGCATATGTAAAGTTATCTAAAGCAATGTCTTTACTGATCTAGAAAGAAATTGTTTTAAATAACACATTGAATAAAAAAATTTAAAAATTAGATTCACAATTACCACTGGTAAGAGATTAAATATGTATTAGTTCTCAATGTTAAGAGCACTTTGCATTAAAAATAACTAGATAGAAAGACACTAATGAGCCTGTTTTTATGATTCATTCAGTAAGGATATGCTTTGAATCAAAGAAAACGGAGGGTCTTGACTAAAGTGTGCTGAGCTTTTGATAATTCATTGGACCAAAACACATGTTATTGTAAGATACCTCTTAATTTTTGTTTCATCTAAAATTGGAAAATATGAGAGGAATACACTTCTTAAAAATACACTTCTCAGAGCATATTTTTTATAAAATTTTTAAATTTTTTTCTTTTACTTCAAGTTCTGGGATACATGTGCATAACGTGCAGGTTTGTTACATAGGTATACATGTGCCATGGTGGTTTGCTGCACCCATCAACCCATCATCTACATTAGGTATTTCTCCTAATGCTATCCCTCCCCTAGCCCCCAACCCATGACAGGCCTTAGCGTGTGATGTTCCCCTCCCTGTGTCCATGTGTTCTCATTGTTCAACTCCCACTTATCAGAACATGTAGTGTTTGGTTTTCTATTCTTGTGTTAGTTTGCTGAGAATGATGGTTTCCAGCTTCGTCGATGTCCCTGCAAAGGACATGAACTCATCCTTTTTTATGGCTGCATAGTACTCCATGGTATATATGGGCCACATTTTATTTATCCAGTCTATCATTGATGAGCATTTGGGTTGGTTCCAAGTCTTTGCTATTGTGAACAGTGACACAATAAACATACGTGTGCATGTGTCTTTATAGTAGAATGATTTATAATCCTTTGGGTATATACTCGTTAATGGGATTGCTGGGTCAAATGGCATTTCTGGTTCTAGATCCTTGAGGAATTGCCACACTGTCTTCCACAATGGTTGAACTAATTTCTACTCCCACCAACAATGTAAAAGTATTCCTATTTCTCCACATCCTCTCCAGCATCTGTTGTTTCCTGACTTTTTAATGATCACCTTTCTAACTGGCATGAGATGGTATCTCATTGTGGTTTTGATTTGCATTTCTCTAATGACTCTGTAATCTAATCTAGTGATGATGAGCTTTTTTCATATGTTTGTTGGCTGCATAAATGTATTCTTTTGAGAAGTGTCTGTTCATATCCTTCCCCCACTTTTTGATGGGGTTGTTTGTTTTTTTCTTGTTACTTTGCTCAAGTTCTTTGTAGATTCTGGATATTAGCCCTTTGTCAGATGGATAGATTACAAAAATTTGCTCCCATTCTGTAGGTTGCCTGTTCACTCTGATAGTCTCTTTTGCTGTGCAGAAGCTCTTTAGTTTAATTAGATCCCATTTGTCAATTTTGGGTTTTGTTGCCATTGCTTTTTGTTTTAGTCATGAAGTCTTTGCCCATGCCTATGTCCTGAATGGTATTGCCTAGGTTTTCTTCTAGGGTTTTAGGTCTTACATCTCAGTCTTTAATCCACCTTGAGTTAATTTTTGTATAAGGTGTAAGGAAGGGGTCCAGTTTCAGTTTTCTGCATATGGCTAGCCAGTTTTCCCAACACCATTTGTTAAATAGGGAATCCTTTCCCCATTGCTTGTTTTTATCAGGTTTGTCAAAGATCAGATGGTTGTAGATGTGTGGTATTATTTCTGAGGCCTCTGTTCTGTTCCATTGGTCTATATATCTGTTTTGTACAAGTACCCCATGCTGTTTTTGTTACTGTAGCCTTGTAATATAGTTTGAAGTCAGGTAGCATGATGCCTCCAGCTTTGTTCTTTTTGCTTAGGATTGTCTTGGCTATGCGGGCTCTTTGTTTGGTTCCATATGAAATTTAAAGTAGTTTTTTCTGATTCTGTGAAGAAAGTCATTGATAGCTTGATGAGGGTAGCATTGAAACTGTAAATTACTTTGGGCAGTATGGCCATTTTCATGATATTGATTCTTCCTATGCATGAGCATGGAATATTCTTCCATTTGTTTGTGTCCTCTCTTATTTCCTTGAGCAGTGGTTTGTAATTCTCCTTGAGGAGGTCCTTCACAATCCTTGTAAGTTGTATACCTAGGTATTTAATTCTCTTCGTGGCAATTGTGAATGGGAGTTCACTTATGATTTGACTCTCTGTTTGTCTGTTACTGGGGTAGAGGAATGCTTGTGATTTTTTCACATTGATTTTGTATCCTGAGGCCTTGCTGAAGTTGCTTATCAGCTTAAGGAGATTTTGGGCTAAGACGATGGGGTTTTCTAAATATACAATGATGTCATCTTCAAACAGAGACAATTTGACTTCCTCTTTTCCTAATTGAATACCCTTTATTTCTTTCTCCTGCCTGATTGCCCTGGGCAGAAATTCCAGTACTATATTGAATAGGAGTGGTGAGAGAGGGCATCCTTGTTTTGTGCCAGTTTTCAAAGGGAATGCTTCCAGCTCTTGCCTATTTAGTATGATATTGGCTGTGGGTTTGTCATAAATACCCCTTGTTATTTTGAGATACATTCCATCAATACTTAGTTTATTGAGAGTTTTTAGTATGAAGGGATGTTGAATTTTGTTGAAGGACTTTTCTGCATCTATTGAGAAAATCATGTGTTTTTTGTCATTGGTTCTGTTTATGTGATGGATTACATTGATTGATTTGCATATATTGAACCAGCCTTGCATCCCAGGGATGAAGCTGACTTGATAGTGGTGGATAAGCTTTTTAATGTGCTGCTGGATTCAGTTTGCCGGTATTTTATTGAGGATTTTTGCATCAATGTTCATCAGGGATATTGGCCTGAAATTTTCTTTTTTTGTTGAGTCTCTGCCAGGTTTTGGTATCAGGATGGTGCTAGCCTCATAAAATGAGTTAGGGAGGATTCTCTCTTTTTCTATTGTTTGGAATAGTTTCAGAAGGCATGCTACCAGCTCCTCTTCGTACCTCTGGTAGAATTCGGCTGTGAATCCATCTGGTCCTGGAATTTTTTTTGGTTGGTAGGCTATTAATTACTGCCTCAATTTGAGAACTTGTTGCTGGTCTATTCAGGGATTCGACTTCTCCCTGGTTTAGACTTGGGAAGGCGTATGTGTCCAGGAATTTATCCATTTCTTCTACTATTCTAGTTTATTTGCATAGAGGTGTTTATAGTATTATCTGATGGTAGTTTGTATTTCTGCGGAATCAGTGGTGATATTCCCTTTATCATTTTTTTATTGTGTCTATTTGATTCCTCTCTCTTTTCTTCTTTATTAGTCTTGCTAGTGGTCTATCAATTTTGTTGATCTTTTCAAAAAACCAGCTCCTGGATTCATTGATTTTTTTGAAGGGTTTTTCATATCTCTATCTCCTTCAGTTCTGCTCTGATCTTAGTTATTTCTTGTCTTCTGCTAGCTTTTGAATCTGTTTGCTCTTGCTTCTCCAGTTCTTTTAATCGTGATGTTAGGGTGTCGATTTTGGATGTTTCCTGCTTTCTCTTGTGGGCATTTAGTGATATAAATTTCCCTTTAAACACTGCTTTAGCTGTGTCCCAGAGATTCTGTTACATTGTGTCTCTGTTCTCATTGGTTTCAAACAACTTATATATTTCTGCCTTAATTTCGTTATTTACCCAGTAGTCATTCAGGAGCAGCTTGTTCAATTTCCATGTAGTTGTATGGTTTTGAGTGAGTTTCTTAATCATAAGTTCTAATTTGATTGCACTGTGATTTGAGAGACTGTTTGTTATGATTTCTTTTCTTTTGCCTTTGCTGAGGAGCATTTTACTTCCAATTATGTGGTCAATTTTAGAATAAGTGCCATGTGGTGCTGAGAAGAATGTATATTCTGTTGATTTGGGGTGGAGAGTTCTGTAGAAAAAAGAATTAAAGAGGTTTGTTTGGTCCAGAGCTGAGTTCAAGCCCTGAATATCCTTGTTAATTTTCTGTCTCATTGATCTAATATTGACAGTGTGGTGTTAAAGTCTCCCACTATTATTGTGTTGGAGTCTAAGTCTCTTTGTAGGTCTCTGAGAACTTGCTTTATGAATCTGGGTTCTCCTGTATTGGGTGCATATATATTTAGGATAGTTAGCTCTTCTTGTTGCATTGATCTCTTTACCATTATGTAATGCCCTTCTTTGTCTCTTTTGATCTTTGTTGGTTTAAAGTCTGTTTTATCAGAGATTAGGAATGCAACCCCTGCATTTTTTTGCTTTCTATTTCCTTGGTAAATATTCCTCCATCCCTTTATTTTGAGCCTATATGTGTTTTTGCACGTGAGATGGTTCTGCTGAATACAGCACACCAATGGGTCTTGAATCTTTATCCAATTCGCCAGTCTGTGTCTTTTAATTGGGGCATTTATCCCATTTACATTTAAGGTTAATATTGTTATGTATAAATTTGATCCTGTCATTATGATGCTATTTGGTTATTTTGCCCATTAGTTGATGCACTTTCTTCATAGGGATGATGGTCTTTACAATTTGGTATGTTTTTGCAGTTGCTGGTACCAGTTGTTCCTTTCCATGTTTAGTGCTTTCTTCAGGAGCTCTTGTAAGGCAGGCCTGGTGGTGACAAAATCTCTCAGCATTTGCTTGTCTGTAAAGGGTTTTATTTCTCCTTCACTTATGATGCTTAGTTTGGCTGGATATGAAATTCTGGGTTGAAAATTCTTTTTTTTAAGAATGTTGAATATTGGCCCCCACTCTCTTCTGGCTTGTAGGGTTTCTGCAGAGAGACCTGCTGTTAGTCTGATGGGATTCACTTTGTGGGTAATCCAACCTTTCTCTCTGGCTGCCCTTAACATTTTCTCCTTCATTTCAACCTTGGTGAATCTGATGATTATCTGTCTTGGGGTTGCTCTTCTCGAGGAGTATCTTTGTGGTGTTTTCTGTATTTTCTGAATTTGAATATTGGCCTGTCTTGCTACATTGGGGAAGTCCTCCTGGATAATATCCTGAAAAGTGTTTTCCAACTTGGTTCCATTCTCCCCATCACTTTCAGGTACACCAATCAAACATAGGTTTGGTCTTTCCGTATAGTCCCATATTTCTTGGAGGCTTTGTTGATTCCTTTTCATTCTTTTTTCTCTAATCTTGCCTTCACGCTTTATTTCATTAAGTTGATCTTCAATCTCTGATATCCTTTCTTCCGCTTGGTCGATTTGGCTATTGATACTTGTGTATGCTTCACGAAGTTCTCATGATGTGTTTTTCAGCTTTATCAGGTCATTTGTGTTCTTCTCTAAACTGGTTATTTTAGTTAGCAATTTGTCTAACCTTTTTTCAAGGTTGTTAGCTTCCTTGCATTGGGTTAGAACATTCTCCTTTATGTTGGAGGAGTTCATTATTACCTACCTTCTGAAGCCCACTTCTATCAATTCATTAAACTCATTCTCCATCCAGTTTTGTTCCCTTGCTGGGGAGGAGTTGTAATCCTTTGAAGGAGAAGAGGCATTCTGGTTTTTGCAATTTTCAGCCTTTTTGCGCTGATTTCTCTCCATCTTCATGTGTTTACCTACCTTTGGTCTTTGATGTTGGTGACCTTCGGATGGGGTTTTGGTGTGGAGGTCCGTTTTATTGATGTTGATACTATTCTTTTCTGTTTGTTAGTGTTCCTTCTAACAGTCCCCTCTGATGCAGGTCTGCTGGAGTTTGCTGGAGGTCCACTCCAGACCCTGTTTGCCTGGGTATTACCAGTAGAGGCTGCAGAACAGCAGAGATTGCTGACTGTTCCTTCCTCTGGAAGCTTCATCCCAGAGGGGCACCCACCAGATGCCAGTTGGAGCTCTCCTGTATGAGGTGCCTGTTGACCCCTGCTGGGAGGTGTCTCCCAGTCAGGAGGCATGGGGGTCAGGGACCCACTTGAGGAGGCAGTCTGTCCCTTAGCAGAGTTTGAGCGCTGTGCTGGGAGATCCGCTGCACTCTTCACAGCTGGCAGGCAGAAATGTTTAAGTCTGCTGAAGCTGTACCCTGTTCCCCCAGGTGCTCTGTCCCAGGGAGATGGGAGTTTTATCTATAAGCCCCTGACTGGGGCTGCTGCCTTTGTTTCAGAGATGCCCTGCCCAAAGAGGAGGAATCTAGAGAGGCAGTCTGGCTACAGCGGCTTTCCCAAGCTGTGGTCCAGTTTCGTGCTTGAAACCCAGGGCCCTGGTGGTGTAGGTACCAGAGGGAATCTCCTTTCCTGTGGGTTGTGAAGACCATGGGAAAAGCACAGTATCTGGGCCGGAATGCACTGTTCCTCACGGCGTTGTCCCTCATGGCTTCCCTTGACTAGGGGAGGAAGTTTCCCGACCCTTTGCGCTTCCCAGGTGAGGTGATGCCCCACCCTGCTTCTGCTTGCCCTCTGTGGGCTGCACCCACTGTCTAACCAGTCCCAGTGAGATGAGCCAGTTACCTCAGTTAGGAATGCAGAAATCACCTGCTTTCAGCATTGATCTCGCTGGGAGCTCCAGACTGGAGCTGTTCCTATTTGGCCACCTTGCCAGCCAGCCTTGCATATTGTTTATAAATTTAAGGACAATAATGAAATCCATGCCCAGATAAAAAGGGCATTTTAACCTATGAGGCAGAGCTGTGAAATGCTTCCAATTATTTGGCCTTCAAAAATGTTCCGGGCCAAGTGCAATGGCTCACACACCTGTAATACCAGAGCTTTGGGAGGTCAAGGCTGGAGGATTTCTTGAGGCCAGGAGCTCAAGACTGGCCTGGGAAACATTGTGAGACCCGATCTCTACAAAAATGTGTTAAAAATTAGCCTGTTGTGGTGGCACACACCTGCAATCCCAACTACTCAGAAAGCTGAGGCAGAAGGATGGCTTTAGCCCAGGAGTTCCAGGCTGCTGTGAGCTATGATCATACCACTACTGCACTCCAGCATGGGGAAACAGAGTGAAAGCCTGTCTCTAACAAAACAAAACAAAGAATTTTCAGATGTGCGATTGTCTAGTCAAGGAGGCTGCACTTCTACATTTACATAAAAGAGAGGAAAAATTTTAGATAAATAAATGTCATCCTTAATGTGTGAACAAAAGGACATTAATCACAAGTAAATGTAAAATATTTGCTCCAGAAAGCTTGAAGATCAATTGAGTCCATGGGAGTAAATTACTCAATGATCTCTTGAAGATACAAGAATAGAAAGAGAAGATTATTTAATTACAAAGAAGGTCTCTGTGGAGAACATGCCATTCACAATCCATCAATATGAATTCAGAACATCGGCCAAGCTTTCTGTTCTAACCTCATGACACAAGCTTTCTGTTCTAACCTCATGACACCGAAGCCTGGATATCTCCCAGACATTCTAGGAAAGATTACTTAGGGGTGTTCATTGTTCTCTAGAGTCCTTAGCTGGTCTGAGGTCATAATATAGACACTAATTTTTGTTCTGTTAAATCAGCAATCTACCTTCCATGTATTTGCTTAAAGTATCTTTTACCAAGACCACTATATTTCCTTTAATAATTCAATAATAACACAGTCATACTACTGAAAACTGTGATGTGAATTAGATCACATTATACAAAACCCTCTTGCTATACTAAGGGGGTGGTCTGTTAGGAAAGAGTGCCGTATACTGCTAGGAGTCAGTGTGCAAGGTCTTCTTCCTATAAGAACAATGTTCCTATAGGGAATATCCAAACATTTTCTAAGGTATTCTCTAAGTAACTTACTGCTTTCAAGGGAGAAGCATGGTCATACCACTTGGAAACTGCCATTGTCCTAAATGGCTTGAAAGCTAAATACGACTTTTTCTCTAAGCGCTTCTATGATTATTGTCTTTAGTAATATAAAAAGAAAAATTGCTGGATAAAGTAAAAATAAACAAATACATAAGTGTATTAGTCCATTTTCACGTTGCTGATAAAGACATACCAGAGACTGGGTAATTTGTAAAGAAAGAGAGGTTTAATGGACTCATAGTTTCACATGGCTCATCAGGCCTTACAATCATGGCAGGAGGCAAGAGGCACATCTTACATCACAGTAGACAAGACAGAATGAGAGTCAAGTGAAAGGGGTTTCCCCTTATAAAACCATCAGATCTCGTGAGACTTATTCACTACCATGAGAATAGTATTGGGGAAATTGTCCCCATGGTTCAATTATCTCCCACTGGGTCCCTCCCACAACAGGTGGGAATTATGAGAGCTACAACTCAAGATGAGATTTGGGTGGGGACCAGCTGAACCATATCAATAACTATAAAATTATTTATAATTTAATAAAAAAGTTATTAAAACAGATTTTAATAACTTAGTTAAAGCCTCTGGATCCAGCGGTGCCTTCAGCCCCATCTCCGAATTTTCCATTTATGGGGTGAGTTAGAGTTTTGGCATTTGCTGAAAGAAGGATCATGACTCACATACCCTTCTTTACTTTCTAATAGCATGGCTGATATTCAAGATTTAAACAAGACTTTGCTAAGCATACGGAATAACAGTAGAAAAATTAAAAAGAGGCAACATCCAATTTGCCTGGTTTATATGTTATAATTCCCTCATATTTATTGTACAAGCAACTACATCTTCTTGGCCAGGATCCATATGACAGAGGATACCAGTTATGACAACCCCCAAAAGTCTTCCAAAAGCCAAACCTGAACTACCTCTGTGGCCCCACTGCTGTCCCAGCTGACCTCTGTCCCATGCACCCATCGCCTCATTGCCCTGGATTACATCAAATCCTCCACATTTCCTGTGAACTCTGTACCTCAGCTCATGCTGTTCCTTGAGCTGGAAATATCTTCCTTCCTACCACATCTTTCCTAACTTTAACACCCCACTCAACCTACAAACACAGCTGAGAAATTTTACATTACTTTCCCTATGACTCCAGCCTATGTCTTTCTCTGTATTCCTGCAGAATATAGCTTATACCTCCATCTCCACCTTTACTCACCTCCTGCATTTTACTAGAGCTCGTTTTGTCTGCTCCACTGGTCAGTAAGTTCTCTAGGAGCAGGGACAATGTGTGATAATCTCTGAGTCCAAAAGCATAGCTTAGATCTGTCTTTGTATTGTTACTGCCTGAATTTGCCATTAGTGCCATTGTATACAGCTTTAAAACAAAATAATTGGGTCAGATCACTAGGCTCCTGCTTCTGGTTTCTGATTTTAGCAGAAATATAAAATCATTTATACTGTAGTGTGGGATAAAGCTAGGATGTCCTTCCTACCAAAGTTGATTGTTTCCCAAATAGTCTTTCAACAAAGGTAGGCTGTCTCCTGAGAAGGCATATATTGTGGTGGTGTCGGGGGGAGTGGGGGTCCTTCTCTCAAACACTGGGCTGCCTTTTAAGTCCACTGGGTAGAGCTTGGTGACATGGAAGATTCTGCCACATTTCTGTTCAGCTTAGCTAAGGCCCCTCCATATAAAACATACATATCCACACAGAACACGTCACATTGCTGCATCCTACCATGCCCTCAAATACACATCACACACCAGACCCTTGACACCTGCTCACGGATACACACAATGTATGTTGCACATGCATACACACTGGAAGTAGAATAAATTCTGATATTTTTGAGATAGATTCTCAATAATTATGAATAAAGATATAGACTGCTACTATCAATGAATTTTTAAAACAGAAACATTGAAGCAGAATAAAATTAGCAAACCTACCCTTTCACCCTTAATTCCTACTGACCTACTCTAAATCTTTCCCATCAAACCCATGCTGTCTCCTTTTTATGCTTAAAAATGACTTGAACTCTCCCATCTGTTTTTTCCTTCATATTGTTTATTCTAATGCTTTCCTTAATTCTGTTCTAGATTCCTAACAAACAAATCCAACCTTCAGCATCCTGCCCAAAATACCCTGTCTAAATCCAGATCTTTCTGAGGCTCTCAGCCTCCTGAGAACTGAATTCTTATGGTATGAATTAAATACTAATTTAAATGGACATGATGTTCTCATGTCATAGCAATTTTATTATAAGGCCTTAAGATTAGGACCTCTGTCTCGTATGCCTACACTTAGTACTTAACATGGGGCTGCACACAAGCTGGTTGCTCAGGCCATCTGTAAGGGCAAGCCCTCTCTCTATGAGAGAGGAACCGGCGGCCTCCTCCTCCATCATGGTGTGTAATTTGCTGGCCCTCAGCCATAGGGCTTTCCTTCTTCAGACACCCTCTTGGAGAATCAGTTATTAAAGCCATAAACCCAAGATCATAAATAACTTTCCCAAGTCCCAGTGAATCTGTATTTCATATGAAGCATGTTATTTTTGAGAAGAGGCCCAATTCCTTTGGAAATCACGTAGTAAGAAATAAGAGAGGTATCTTCCATGGAATCACATGATGGTTTCACATACAGCTCTCGTCAGGCCTCACTCAAAACATAACACACTGGCCAATCAGATATCACAATCTTGGTGGCTTCAGCCCTCAGCACAGAAATCTCATTTTCTTCCTCTCTTGGGACCTGAATTTCCACTGCCCAGAAGTCATTTTTCTTGAAGATTTCATTTCTAACATCAGTGTAGGAATAATAATTTTTAAAAAGCCGTTTCGTTCCTGAACAAGATTGAGATAAATCAGGCTCGTGTGTGTGTGTGTGTGTGTGTGTGTGTGCGCTTGTTTTTTGCTTCCTTGGACTTCCCTGATCTTCCCTGATGACCCTGGGGTAGTGGCCATGGAGGGAGGACAGCTATCAAAAGATGCCAGGTTTCCCATGACTAAGGAGTATAGATACATTTAATGAATGTGTCTAGGATACAAGAACATTGATGTCCAAAGCCCAGAGAATTTAGCTAACACTGACAGAGTGCATGACTTTCTGAAGAGACCAATTGGTATCAATGTTATCATTAACTCTGGGAGCAATTCACCAAACTGAGTCTAATTAGTGGAATGAGTTTTGTACAGTTTTTCTTTGGAAAATGACTCTTAAATTAGGCCAATTTCACAATAAGGAAAATACCAGAATCGTCCTTCAATTTATTTTGAAGTGTTCACAGACCATTTAACCATTTATTAATTGATTTAACAAGTATTTACTGAACAGTCACTTGGTGCATGCGGGTTGGAGATGCCCTTAGGTCTGTAGGCCTCTGGGCAAGTAATTTTCTATAAAAACTACTTAAGTCACCAAAAATCAGTATGTCAGAAGCATCTGGAAACTAATTTCATGCCATTCCATGAAAGAAACGTTATGCTGGCCAGCAGGAACTATCCTCTTTCCAAACCCCCTCCTAGAATCCTAAAACCAAGGTCAGGCCACATGACCCCAGAACAACTCCATTAACCCAAATGAAACTGCTGCCCCAGAGTGATCATTGGCACGAGAAGGGAACTTAGAAAATTCCCAGGGATCTTCTGCAAAGTGTGAGGATGCCTGATGTTTAGGGCCTGGGGCAGGCAACCCTTGCCTGGATCTGAGGGTGGTGTGGATATCGGTGACTAAATCATAATCTCTGCTCTCAAGGAGATCTCCTATTGTGTGGAATGTTCTTCTAACTCTGCCTGCCATGTAATATAATGTGCTCAAGTGTTATAGATGCCGTGATAAAGATGCATGTATTGTGTAATAAAAAGTCAAACGAAAAAGTGGTCAGTATTTGATCAATCTAAGGATAAATAAAAAATATACTTACATGATTTTGAAGCTGGACATTTATGGTTCCTGGTTGTCATTTAAAAATGATCTGGGAACTTCTTTTGTCTGATTTGTCATGTGAACCAGGTGTCTGTAGAAACATCAGCACTCCAAACTGACAATCAGACATGGATCACACTAGAAATAACAAGGGATTTGGATGAACACAAACTTGCATTTCTATCCCAGTTCCATCTAACACTTGATTGCCGTATGGTGCTGGAGAAAATAACTCCTCTAAGCCTCAGGTTTCTCATCTGTAAAATGAGGATCATAATACTTATTTCACTGGGCAGTTTTGAGGTTTAAGTTACAGGTTTGTCTACAAACCTACGCTCATTGCATATCAGGTTTATTTGTTCTCGAAGTAGGAAAAATTGCAAAAAAAGAAAAAATTATGTTCTATAAAGTAAGATTGTCAGCTCACTCTAGTATAGGAGCCATTCCTATGAACGTATTGCTCACAGGCATGGAACCCAAAATGTTAGATTCCAAAGCCTGGAATTCCAAAACCTGGAATCTAACATTTTGGGTTCCATGTCTATAAGCAATAATTGAAGGTCAGGCTACACCAACCAGTGTGTGTAGGCTTCTATGCCAAGACTTGCATTCCACATGCCTTCCCTAAAAGCAACTTGGGGTAAATATATGTATCAGCTTTTAGGCTTCCTCAGTATCTTAACCAGCTGGGGCTGCTATCACAAAATGCCATAGACTGGGTGGCTTAAACAAGAGACGTTTATTTCTCACAGTTCTGAAGGCTGGGAAGTCCAAGGTGAAGGTGCCTTGGAATTAGTGTCTGGTGAGGGCCCTCTTCCTTGTTTGCAGATGGCACCTTCTCACTGTATCTTTACATGGTAGAGAGAGAAGGGGTTCTGGCCTCTTCCTCTTCTTAGGAGAGAATCATTCCTATCATGGAGGCTCCACCCTCATGACCTCATCTAAACCGAATTACCTTCCAAATGCCCCACCTATAAATGTCCTCATATTGGTGATTACAGCTTCATCCTAAGAATCTGGGGAGGACACAAACATTTAGTTTCTAACACTCAGTTTCTAAGTAGAGGTTCGGACCTGTAGGAATGGAGGCTCCTGGAAACCAGAGGGGTCAGAAGAAAGCCAGACCCATCAGATTTCTTTTATCAGATGTCAACAAATCTTCCTCAGTACCCACCTGTGCCTGTGGAAAGCTCTTCCCGTCAGAGCAATGCTCAAGACTTCAGTCTGTCCAGATGATTCCATGACCCACCCTTCTATTATCCCCAGTTGTAGAGCATAGCACAGCTTAAGCTTGGAGATGGGGTGGGGAGTGAGGGGTAGGAGCTACAGATGGGAAGCAGGGCTTTGGGTGGGGGTTGAAGTTGGGATCCCTGTTGTACAGAGAGAGATTACTCTTGAAGGACCAAAAAAATAGTAGTTTACTTAAATGGTGGCCAAAGAGTATCTCAGCAGGAATTTCATTTACAAAGCTGATGTCATAGAAGCTCAAGACTTAACTCATATAATGTCTTCCCTCATAGAGGAAGAAGCAGAAACATAGGATAATCTATGAGTGCAAATCCATTCTCCCACCCAGGAATCTCTCTATGACTTCTCCTAACCCCAATGTGAGAAGCATCCAGCACATCAGCTATGGATATCAAGAACTCTGATACCAGGGAGCAAGTGACCCATGCCCTTTAGGAGGTCAAAGAAAGGGCTGTGGTGTCTTTGAGGTGTGGGAGTGTAATTAGGCAGTCGGGAAGTCAGAGAAATTCAGAAGAGGGCATTTGAATTGGATACAAGACTTCAATAAAGAATGATGGGAAGAAAGAGCAGAGAGATAAACCCAAACCACACAGATGGGAAAAGAGGCTACGTTTAGGGAACACGGAAGAAGCCAACCTGGCTCAAGCTGAGGATGTGCTCAGGGAAGGGTTGCTGGGATACTGGGGGACTTGGAAACTAAGGAAGGGCTCTGTGCATCACATTCGTACCCCAGGTTTGTCTCTCAGCCCTGCTCTCCCCAGGGGCTGCCCCGCAGCAAATAAGTCAGGAAAAAGCCATCTTTTCAGCACTTCTTGATTTTGCAGTTGGAAGCCTCAGAGCAAAACACTAGGAAATTTAGAGAAATGTTTTGCACACTTGTATAGAAGGGGCCACTGTTTTGGAATAGAAACATCTCGTTATAATAAGTCTGCACACAGAAACAGATGGAAGTAGATAAGTATCAGGTCTTGCCTCCAATTCTGTCAGCCAAGAGAGAAGGAAATTTGAGCTGTTAGTTATGGAGTCTTCCTCAAATCCAGGTCAGCACAGAGTTTTTGTGGTTGAGTTACTTCCCCCTCCTTTTTTTTTTTAAAGAGACCCTAAATTTCCTAGGATTGCAAATATTTTGGAAAAGAAAACCCCTTTAAAGAAAAAGAGGCCGGGCGTGGTGGCTCATGCCTGTAATCCCAGCACTTTGGGAGGCTGAGGTGGGCGGATCACCTGAGGTCAGGAGTCTGAGACCAGCCTGGACAACATGGCAAAACCTCGTCTCTACTAAAAACACAAAAATTAGGCGGGAGTGATCCAGGTGCCTGTAGTTCCAGCTACTCGGGAGGCTGAGACAGGAGAATTGCTTGAACGTGGGAGGTAGAGGTTGCAGTCAGCCGAGCCACTGCACTCCAGGATGGGTGACAGAGAGAGACTCTGCCTAAAAAAAAAAAAAAAGAAAGAAAGAAAGGAAACTATTATTTTTATTGAATGACTTGTCAGACTTACTTGCATCTAACGTTCATAAAAATCTTCAGGCAGATATTATTGCCATCTCTGATTTTACGAGAAACAGGTTCAACATTGAAATGGCTTATCTCATATTACACAACTTTCTAAGGGCCCTGCTCCAAGTTCACTGGACTCCTGGAGCCATGTTCAGTGCTTCCATAACACCACCTTCCAGGCTGTGGGCTGCGTACTCTTTCTAAGTAGAAAGACGCAGTGGCAGGAAAATGAGAAAGGATATAACTCTGTAGCTACAGCCTCAAATGGAACCAGGTCATCAAGGACCATGACTGCAATCAGGTGTGGTGTCAACTCATCAGAGGTGGAAGGTGCCAGGTGCCCCAACCCCAGTCCCTTCACCTCCTTAGAAGTAACTTCATACCCCACCAACACATGGGAAGGATGGATTTTTCACATATTACTGGTTGTAAATGAATGATGGTTAAAAAATAAGCATGAAAGAAGACACTTCTTAATTCCTAGGACTATCAAGTAGTATGCGATCCATTGAGTTTGTTTTTCATGCTTATGTTATGATGTGGAGAGGTAATGGCTGGGGCTCTATTAGCCATCTAGAGCCATGAGGACAAAGGCCACTTTCTGGGTACTAAAGGGTGACCTTTGGGATGGAGTCTGGTTCCTACAGGATTGTGGCACCTCTAGGCTCCCCTGTTAGATTGCCCAGGCTCTCCTCCCACCCACTACCCAGCCTCCAACTTGGCTCAGTACAGCTCCACCAGCACTTGCTTCTCTCAGGTCTTCCCCAGCACCTACATTGAAATTGTTACCTGACTTGCCTGGATTTCTCACCAGGCTGTGTTCTCCAAAAAGGCTGGGACCTTCAAGGCTAGACACCTCTCATTTCTAGCAAGGTGCCTGCTGCACAATAATGTTTGTTGAATATGTGAAGGAATATGTAAATATGTTTATTGCACGAGTGAATAACTGGCTGAAATAATGAACATTTTCTTACGAAAACATTAAAGATGCAATAGCATAGGTGGTGTTCTAGCTAATAAAATCCTGTGGGTGCAGAAAGCTGCAAAGAGCAGAGCATTTTGGGTGCTAACTAGGCCAAATTCATGCTTTTGGAGGACTGCTATGCTCAAGTCATCTTTCCTCCCCTCCAATCCCGTGAATTCACAGCAGGAATCAATAATGACACTGAATCATTCAGGAATGTGAGTCTCAGGGGTGGCCAAGCAGGGATCTGAGGACGAAGGATTGATGAGGAAAAGACACCTGCCACACTGCTTACTCTTTCCTTGTTCTTATGCCACTTCTGCACAGAGGCTGGCACATTCCAGCCTGTCTCCTACCCTCTCTGGCCCCGACTGATGGTCTCATAGGCACCTTCCTCCCCTCTTACCCCTGGAAGGCCTGGGTGAGAATCTGTTTGTGGCTCCCCTCCATGCTGCTGCTGTCTCAGAGGACTTAGTCAGTCTGCGTGGGTGTTGTTTATCTTTTCATCCATTCCCCAGTCCAGGACACAGTCTGTTAAGTGAAACACGATGATGCAGAGGCTGTGGCTACAGATGGAGTGTTTTCTTTCCTTCACACCTCTCTCCCCTTAACCTCTTGTCTCTTTGGCCTTTTTGTCCAAATTTCTTGCTGCAGACCTCTCGCCATGTGTCTCTCTTTTCCTGGCTGCTCCCTGAAAGTCCTGAGCCATGAAACGACTGTGGTGAATCTCTAGATAAATGACTGTTGCCTCCCCTCCTTTCATTGTGACAACTGAGGTGCAATACCCGTCTTTCCTCTTATTAGCTATGTGACTCCAGGGACTCCTAAACATTTCTGAGCCTCAACATACTAATTTATAAAATGAGATTGCAAAGGCTGCCTTTATAGCCTGCTCATTGTGGGGAACATGAGAAAGTACATTAAAAGCTCTTAGAAACTGCATCACAAGGAGAAGGTAATTAAGGTATTATCGTTATTTATAGGTACAGAAGAGAAGAGGCAGAGAGCTGTGAGGCATGCAGAAGACTGTTCTCTCCACTCATCGCTTTAGACACTAGTCTCTGCTCTTCTGCCTTTTCTCCCTCCATTCTTCTCTGTATTTGTCTATTCCTTTCCATTTCTAGCCTTCCTCCAGGCATTCTTTGAGGATCTACCACTGCATGCTCTGAACTGGGTACACTGTCCTCTCCTGTTCTCTTGTGTAAGCCAGGCTGGCCCGCAGTGGCCAGTGAGATCCAGAGACCTGGTGCAGCTGCTCACCCCCACTTCTCCTCCTCTTTTCCCATACACACTGCAGTTACCCTAAGGATCAAAGTCACTCCTCCATGTATGGAAACAAACAAGAGGTGGTGGAATGAACTACTAACCTCATAACTCTTCCAGCTACAGTAATTTGATCATCCCATATTTCTTCCTAGATAGTTCTCCCATCCTTTTTTCTCCCTTTCCTTTGGTGCCTCAAAGAGGGGTCTCCTGATTTGCACTCCTTAGGGATTGAGGAAATGCCTGCATACTCCACCCTGTGCTTCACACAGTTATGCCTCCTAGGACAGAGTGGATTTTGCAGCCTTTTCCAAATGGCAGACTCTGTGACCCCACAGGACATCAGGGGATCCTATATCATCAGATAATAGGGTAGGAAGCAGGAGGGGAACAAATCCACTGTGAACCAAGCATGAACCTCAGTCATGTGCTTTATCTTTCCCAGCCTGGATCCAGATCTCAAGAATATCCAAGTACTCCACAAAGAAACATGTTTCTCTGTTACTCAGATAGGCCACACACTTGGAAAATTCATCAACATTGCCTTTTAAGGACATTTCAAGTCAGGATGAAACTTTGTCTGCAACTTTCCTTTCCTCACTTTTCCACCAATACGAAGGTAACCTAGTGCTGGAAATACATATAAGATATTCTGAAGCCAAGCCCCAGGGCCTCTGTTTTCTGCAGCCTCTAAGGCCCAGTCCCCTGCCATCTCAGCCTAAAATGGTGGGAGATGGGGAGAGAAGACCTCTTTGGTTGGGAAGTTTCTGGCATATAGCCCGTAAAATTCCAGAAGTATCCTTTATGTGGGATATCTTTTTTTTTTTCTGCTTGGCATGTTTCCAATTCCTCAAGGTATTTTGTTCAAACAATTTGTGGGAAAAAATCACTTTGCAAATTTTAACAAATACATATTGAATCCTTAGTGTGCTTAAAAGCAAGTGTTTTAAATCAACACTTTGAGTGGATAATGGTTTATAGGCTCACCTTTTCCCCACTTGTCTTTCACAAAACCATCTTCAATTTCCTATGTAAAGCTGGGAAACTAAACATCAGCATATTCATTTAATTTCTCTTTGGCTCACCAGGCCTCGTTTTGAGAAATACTTTGATTCCCTCTGACAACCCTCTATCTTTCTATTTCCCTAATCCTGACATCATTCTTGAACATTCCCTCTTAGTCTTCTCTGCTTAAATCATTACATTTCCAATTTGTCTCTACCAGTATCTTAACTCCTCTTTTAATAGCTTGTATGATGATGATGATGGTGGTGGTGGCGGTGGTGGTGATGATGGTGGGGGAGAGAGAGAGAGAGAGAGAAAGAGAGAGGAAAGGAGAGGAGAAGAGAGGAGAAAAGAGAAGAGAGGAGAGGGGAGGGGAGAGGAGAGGAGAAGAGAAGAGGGAAGAGAAGAGAAGAAGAGAAGAAGAGAAGGGGAGAAGAGGAGGGGAGGGGAAGGGAAGAGGGAGAGGAGGAGAAAGGAGAGGAGGGGACATGGGGAGAGAAGGGGAGGTAAGAGGAGGGAAGGCGGGGGAAGGGAAGGGAAGGGAAGGGAAGGGAAGTTTCATCTTTTTAATACTCTGCCTTTAGCCCAGGAGTACATGTGGACCTGTTCATTCACTTGGCGTACTCACTCACTACTATATGAATTTACATGACTCATAAGTAATTCTGTGAGTTGCTGTTTTTTGGACATCTGTACAAGCTCCAGATTTTTATTCAAGATCCTCTTCCTCCTCCTTCATTTATCTTCTCAGAAAGTAGAGGTTTCTCACATTCCTGTAAAAGCAAGCCTGTCTTCTAGAAGACTGTGTCATTTCTTGGAGCCAACTCTTCTCTTAGATGGTCATTTGTAAGTTGAGTGGCTAGACATTGTGGTCTCTGAAGTCCCTTGTATAAACCTGTGAAACATTAATTGAAAATGTACCACATTGACTGAACTAATGTGAGGGAGGACTAAGGAAAAATGAAGCTCTGACAGGCATGTTTCAGAGTTGTGGAAGGCTTGGGAAGGAGGCATCAGAGAACAGGGAAAGAGAGTTAGAATTTTGAGCAAGGCATTAAAATATTTCTCAAGATATTGCTGTCCCTCAATTTCTCAATGCCCTTGAATGTGTCATTGGAATTTATGACAAGCACAGTCTAGTTTGGTTGTGTCCTTTGTTCTTTTATATAAATTGTGCAGTGTGAGCAGCTATAGCACCACTACTGTGGATTATCGCATACACTGACAGCAGCCTTTGTTGCTGGCCATGGTGGCAATTCCACTGAACTTGGCTTCCATGGCTTTTGAGGATCTGGCCTCTCTGAGGAGGATAGATAATTATTGGTAAGTGGCAGGATACTGATTTTGCAACGTGAGCAAGTGTCCACCTGGGTGCGAGGAAAAAATGCACTCCCCTCTGCTAATACCAACCTGCCTTCATCAAAAGAAGGTTTGGATTGCAGAACTTCAACATAAGATTCTAAATACTTACGCTGGACCTACTGTAAGCAAACAGTGACCTTTCTATACTTGGTCATTAGTTAAGGAATGGAATAAATGCCACTGCTTGGATCATTGGGTTTATATGTACTCCAGGCATAAGCCAACACATTATCTTATAGCTTTTAGGTATCATGAAGCCATGGATTTTTTTCATCCTCTATGAATGTGAAAACTTAAA
Organism: Homo sapiens; assembly: GCF_000001405.40. NCBI lineage: Eukaryota > Metazoa > Chordata > Mammalia > Primates > Hominidae > Homo > Homo sapiens. The sequence goes on from NC_000002.12 coordinate 18,477,087, forward strand.
ATATTAACCACATGTAGAATATAGTAAATTTAGGACTATGCTTTAGTCATTTCTGTGCGCCCACGGCAACTGACACAGAACTTTGCAGGAAGCAGAGTCGGGAAATCATATGTTGGTTTGATCATGATGGTAATTATCATCATGATACAAATGATACAAAATAGTAAGGTGTTTTGTATCAAATAGGTTCTATATTTAGAAAGTTATATAAAGCTAGCTATCTTGCTGCTGCATTTGAATCTCAAAACCATAGAATAATAAAACATTTCAGTGCCCGACTATGAACCTATGGAGAGTGGAGGCTGTGTTTTATTCTTCTCTATATTCCTTGCCCTTATCACAAAACCTGGCCTGCAATATATGTTTAATGTTATTGTGCACTTTGTGCACATAAAGACCAATTAAGCATCCATTGTGAAACAGCAGGGCTGCCACTTATATGGCTGGAAAGACTGAGCATTGCACAATATCAGGGGTGCTATAAACATTCAATGCAATGTGGATTGTGCCCCCAAATTGGTACCTAACTATATTCTAGTGTCCTTTAGAGTCAAGTTTTTCCTCACTTAAGACCTGCAGTTTTGAGAAAAAAGATGAATAATAAACTCAATAACAAATCACATAGATTTAGACAGGAAAAACTTCAAAAAAGAAAATAGCATGGTGGCATCAAGAGTAATGGACAATGAGGGAGAGGAGATTCAGCTTCTGAAGTTTGGAAAAGCCTCCCTTGATAGGGTAAACTTGGAGCTGAGACCCAAATTACCAGGCAGAGACAAGGCTAGATTAGCTTATTTCATCCTCACAATAGCCCGATTAGGTCGATATTAGCTCTATTTTATATGTGAAGAGATCAAGGCCTTAAAGTAACAGAACTAGTAAGTGACCTGAATCGGTTCAACTCTAAAATTTTGTGTGTAAACATTGTGTCACACTGATTCTTGTAGGAGAAAGTGAAGAGAAGAAGTATTTATGCATATCATTTTTAATAAATATCTGGATGTAGGTGTACTGACCTATATACTGGGTACTTTGATACATTTTTATGAGATGTCTAGGCTGATATTCTTGACAGTACTGATGTCTGTCACAAAATTGTCTTAAGCAATTTAGATATTCTAAGTTTTTACATTTTCAAATAAGATGATCACTAAAAGCATAAGGCATATATAGATCTGATGAAGAGTCAGAAAATTCTGTTCCAGAAAATTCTGATCTGGTGCCACAGGTATCTGTGAGACCTCAGGCAAATTGCTTTCTATCTGAACTTCAGTTTCTCAATCTGTAGATGGGTATGATAATTGTCCTTCTTATTTTAGGACAATTGTAACACTGTAATGTCATAATAAATGTAATAATGTTTAAAAATATAAATATAAGTAATTTATACTGTATTAATTATTTTGATAATCATTAAATGTGGTACATATGTGCCATGGAATACTATGAAGCCATAAAAAGAATGAGATCGTGTCCTTTGCAGGCATGGATGGAGCTGAAAGCCATTATCCTTCACAAACTAATGCAGGAACAGAAAAACCAAACACTACATTTTCTCACTTGTAAGTGGGAGTTGAATGATGAGAACACATGTACACATGGTGGGGTAACAACATACACTGAGGCTTTTCAGCTGGGGATGTTAGGGGAGGGAGAGCATCAGGAAGAATGGCTGATGGATGCTGGGCTTAATACCTAGGTGATGGGATGATCTGTGCAGCAAACCACCATGGCACACGTTTACCTACGTAACAAACCTGCACAGCCTGCACATGTACCCCTGACCTTAAAAAAACTGTATTAAAGGTATTCTTCCTGTGATTAAAAAAAATGCCAGACTTCACATTCCTTTTCTTACTGAGACCAAGACCTTTTTGGGGTGGAAACTAAAAAAGTCGGAATGATAACAGCATAGCTAGGTCTACCTTCCAAAATTATGCAAAGTAACTTTGTAATTAAACTATCATTCACACACAAGTAACACTGTTGTCTTAATTATCCAAGTAATTGATCCTGGAATAGTTATTTTGTTCATAATTGTCCCATTTATGGGCCCAGTACAGATATGTTACGGGCCTTGCCTTGGAGGTAAATATCTTATCTCCATCAAGATATTGTCGTAGAAGAGAGTTTTGTATTGGATTTATTGAGACCCTAGGGTTTGCTTTTCTCATGCTTCTCCTCCAGAACTTCCTGCTATATGAACCACTACCATTTTTCATGCTCCTTAGAAAATACTGTATTATTAATGATACAAATCATAATAATTGTATTCTTTATGTTCATAGTGATTTCTCAGTATAAGAACAGCCTCCACAAGCCATTTTCTTCATTAATCTTTATCACAAATCAATGGCATAGATTTCAATCCTTAGTTTAGAGATTAAAAAAAGAGGCTCAGAGAGGCAAAATGAGGTAGTTCAGGTAGCATGGGTAGGATGGGTAGGGCAAAGCCTCAGACCCAAGGCTATCGTGTCCTTTGAATCCAGCACTCCTGCTGCCACACATATTAACGTTGAAAGAGTTGGATTTTAAACAAACATTATTACATTAATATCTTTAAGTATCTTAATTAGATCTTACAGGAAGGAAAATAAATTGTTTGGTCACCAAAACAGCCTGAGTACTCCAATTTGAAAGAGTGAGTCTGTTTCAGATCATAGATAGGGTGGTGACTCTGTTTGGCCACAAAACATCAATATAGACGGTGAACCACGAGTAGCAGGGGGACGCTTGGATAAAGCCCCTGGCCTGTGAGGAAATGTGACTGTACATGGTATGTGCACCCAACACCTACGGCAAATACTCCCACGGCCACCGGTGTTGGATTCAATTAAACATTAGATTCATCATCTTTAGCAAGGAAAGCGAACAGCAAACAGTTGCTCTCTCATGGCTAAACACCCCTCGGATTTGCTGGCCTTTGATTTATTGGAAGAAACCTGCTGGGAAGAACATACTGTGTAGCTGATTAATGTCAGCTTCTGTCATCAGTTTTCACTTAGATTCTTGGCCAGCCCTGACATCTCCTCCCTAAAGGATCCAGAAGAATTTGAGGGCTGATCCAAGAGCTTTACTGGCATGGGATTTGCAGAATGCGGTGTTTGCAAAATAAGGAAGATGAATGGAAGTGGAATCCCATGTTCTCCACTGGACTTGTTTCTTTAATTCATTTCTCCAGAGGCCCAGCTCCATGCCAGGACCACACCAGCAAGGGGACTGGGGAAAGTGTTCCCAGGCTCCAGTACAGATGTCTTGCATTTCCTGTGCTGCTTTATGTGCTGCTTCCTTAGAGCTCATCATACTGGAAAGGGGTCCAAGGAGGAATGCAGCACGCAATCACCATCAGAGCCTTCATTGGGATCCTTGCCCAAGCTTGTGGAAGAGCGGGCACCACGAGCATCAAGCTCAATCCACTGCCTGGCTGAGAACGAGAAGAGTCACTGCTCCCCAGGTTGGGCATACAAGCCTTGTGTTTCACAGGGTCACACAGCACAACTTTTTCTCCCATGCTCCACTATGACACAATGGCATTCGATTTAAAGCAAGCATAATTTTGTATATGTATTCTCCTTGTTTTTCCGGTAGAGGGAAAGTCCACTATTTGATTTCTTACAAGATAAAATGACATTTTTCCCTCCCACTAATGTACAAAGGACCTGGGAAGAGGTGGCCATTTTAACCAGACTGAAACTTCTCCTGAATTCTCTCCTGGAGGGAGAAATAAAAGAAAGAAATATTTCAATTGAGAAATAAAAATCTGTTCTGGTTATCTATTGATGTTTAACAAATCATCACAAAACCTAGTGATGTAAAATAATAGCACTCATTTTGTTATATCTCACAATTTCTGAGTCATATCTCACAGTTCTGAGGAATTTGAGAAAAGAGGGACTAGACAGTTCTGGCATAGGGTCTCTCCTGCAGTTGCGGTCAGGATCTAGAAAAGAAGGGTCTGTAGGAATGTCAGTTGAGGTTTGCTAGGCCTCTGTCCCTCTCTCTCTTCACATAGTTTCAGGGCCTTTACATATGGTCTCTCCACCAGGACTAATTTGGGCCTTCTCAGAGAATGGCGGCCTCTGGAAGGTCTAACTGCTTATATGGTGACCAAAGGTTTCAAGAGTGAGTATTCTCGCGAGTCCAATTATTGTGCTCCTTTTAATATGCTGGTATTTAAAGATCCACAAAGGCCTTTAAGATTATTTTTAAAGGCTTAGGTTTATTTCCTTATTCTTTTACCAATCAATTCTAAGGATCAGATAGGAGATTGTATCATATTACTTCTAAATTCCCATTTACATCTATTTGTTTAGAATTCTACGGGGTGTTGTTGAGCGATGTCTTATCCTTAAGCACGAGACTGTAATGATAACTTTATTGACGCTCACTGAAGTTTCAGGCACTGTTCTATCTTAGGTTGAATAATTTAATTATTGCAAATATGCTAGGAGTCAGTACTATTGTCATTTCCCTTTCACAGATGAGAAAACTGAGGCACAGTAAGGTTAACTGGCTTACTAAAAGTCATATAGTTGCAAGATTTGAACCCAGGCAGTCTAACTCAAGAGATCACTCTTTTAAGCACTGTGTTAGTCTGCCTCCTCCAAAGAAGCCACAGTCTAGTGGCTTTACACTTAAGTCAAAGAGAATTTTTTGCATGCTTTTTTTCTCCAATATGAACAAGGGATAAGACCCCTTAGACAAGCATCTGGCAATCTGACTAAAGAAACAAGCAGCATATCTCTATGGGGACCACAGGCAAAGGCTATAGAAGTTCATAAGAGGAGAGAGCTGGGAGAAAGCTGGGTGTCAGGAAAGGGGGCCTGGTGGAGTGAGAAACATAACTGGGCTCTTAAGAACAGATAGGGGTTAGAGCACCAGAAAGACTGAGTTGATATTTTAGGTGATGGGAGGAGCTTACCTTACCACATGGTCAATGATATTGTCAATTCCAGCACTGAAAGAAGGGATTCCTTTTCTAGCACTAACTGTACTGGCTTTCCTTGGGTCCTGGTGATTAGATAGATTGTCACCTTGAGGAGAAGAAGAGGACAGGATGTCTCATACATTTATAAGTCTGCCACTGATTTTCTGCCCTTATCCACACCTTCCAAAGACAGATGACCCTCTTTGCCAAACTTAGAGCCCAGCACTGGTTTGGAGATCAGAATAGGGCTAGAAATTATGAAAATGGAGACAGGAAACAAGAAGATCCTCATTGCCCTCAGATCCACAGGAGAGTCCTGGGGCTTAATGCTGCTGGTGCACGGTAAGCACCAGGAGGCAGGGAGCACATCTACCTTGCTCATCAAAGTGTTCCCAAGGTGGCATGTGGCCATGTTCAGTAAGTACTTGTTAAATGAGGAAATGAATAAATGAATTGCCAAATAACCAAACAAATGAGTTTGCATAGAGTGCACTTAAAAACTAACAACAGGTTTCTGGAGTATTTAGGGTGGAAATGGGATGCCCCCATCCTAAAAGGCAGTCTGAGGTGAGAAAGAGTCCTGTGTCCAGAGATAGGGCTTTTTCCTGGCTAGAAAACTCCATGCTTCCTTCTAGAGGAATTGAGTAAATTGTGTTGGGACATATACAAGATCAACCATTATAAAATTTACTACACTTAATTCTAAAACTTTCTTTTCCAGGCACTAGGATCTCAGGGGCAAATCTCTTTTGTGGTAAGCTGACCTCTAGAATTGTCACAATCATATAGCTACAGACACTTATATTTGAAGCATTCTTACACTTTATGAAGATCAACTAGATATAATGTCATCTTTGCCAGCAGGTGGCTACACTTGAATGACTCAATACACAAAACTTCATTACCCTTTGTAATAAATTGCTGTCTCCTCATAAAGTACTTACTGTATGGAAAGATTTCAGAAAAAGGAAACAAGTGATCTCCTGCTAAGAAGTATTAAAGCAAACTTTAGCCCCCTGAAAATAACTATGTAAAGTGCATTTGGATCCTGGATAGGAAACTAGTTTACCCCATGTAAATACAGAAGAATAGCCGCTAGGGTGTTGATGGTGGTGCTTGCTAAAGTGATAGAATAGTAATGATTCCATTTGTTTATTTTGACAGCTTCACTGACTGGGAAACCTGCTATTCTCCACACACCTCCATATTCCCATGATGAAGTTATGTCTCTGTCTTTTTTTTTACTGTACCTGGAATAATGTTGCCCATGCTATTCCTCCAGGCAGACAAAACCTTCCTTGCCCTTTGTACCATCCCATCCAAGGCCCATGAAGCCTTTCTAGATGCTCCCTGTCTGGATTAATCAGCCACCTGCATTGTTCCTGTGGTTCTTTATCAAGCCACTTTCTGCCTCTATTTCACTCTCCCTAAGGTTACACTAGGTTGTTTGCAGAACTGTGACATGGCAGAGAGCAAATGTGTTTGAATCAGGACTCCCAGATTTAAAGTCCAACCTGTACTCTCTCCTAACTGTTGAATTTTAGGGAAGTTACAGAGTCCTTATGGTCTCCATGTATTTCAGACACTTGTAATAATACCAATTCAGATGAGTTTATGGAGCTGCTGTAAGAAAATATATATGAAAAATGCTTTCAGACAGTAATGCTGACATGTGTGCATGTATGAGAGACAGTCGCTGCAAAATGTGCAACAAGAGCTGAAGTTTTATTCACACACTTATTGGATGACCTTGAACAAGCCTTCCCCTCTCTGGGCCTTGGTTTCTGAACCTAGACCAAGGGTTCCTAGCCTGGGATCCTCAGAGGGGCTTTAGGAGAGTCACGAAACCCCTGAGATTGCATCCACCGTTGTGCCTTCTGGTGCCTTTTTCTAGGTTCAGCAGTCACCGCTTTCATCAAATTCTCAAAGAGAACTGAGACTCAAGGGACGTTAGGAAACTTGAGCCAGATGCTCATGAGGTCCCCCACCCCATCCAGGTCTGACAGTTTATGTCCCTGGAAACTTTAGTCCAACATGTTCTTGTAAAAGGCACAGAAACACATTTTGCAAGACCAGAAAGGGACTATCACAGATGAGGAAACTGAATCCTGGAAGAGTGAGGTCAGGTGCCAGATGTTAGGAGTTGGCAGAGACTCTGCAAACCTAACAGAGCTCCAGTGAGAGGGGTAATCACAGAGTCACGGGTCATTTTCTCCTTAGATTTTAAAATCAGGGTGGAGTGGTCAATAGAAAACCCAGAAAAAAAAGTCTTGTTTTGTAAATAGAAATCATTTAATTAAAAAAAAAACTGGATTTGGATTATAATTTTGTAACGTCCTGCCTACAGGCACTGTGCTAGAAGCCAAGGACTCAGGGACACAAAGGCTGTAAAGGGCCCCTATGCTTCACTAATAAGGGAGACACCCTTGCTGTTAACTGACTATAAAATCAGGTGGAATTTAGAGGACCCAGAGTCAGATTTGGCTGGAAGTTCTATTTGATTATTAAGTGTTGAACTTAATGGATTGAGGAAGGCCTGCAGATGCCTTTTGCATATCATCATGGCATGCAGGTAGGGTCCATGATAGCAGGCCCCATGCTAGGTTGTATATATGATTCTATTTAATTCTTCTAATATTCTTGCAAAGTAGGTTTGTAATCCCTATTTAAAGTTGAGGAACTGGTGGCTCAGAGTAGAGTAACCTGCTTTTGATTACACAAAGAGGGAAACATATCTCAATGGTTTTACTTCTCCTCTCTGGCCTGATGCCTCAAGGGCCTCCTTCCTTATCCATCCTGCTCTCTTCCTGTTGCCCAACACAACTGCCCTGTGATTCCATCCTGGGAAAGGCATTGGGGCTCAAGTCTCTGCAGCTCCTGATAACATTGGACACTGATACTGCTCTAGAAGTAGACTTCAGAAAAAAAAGGTGCCAGCCTAATCTGGGTGTGAGCCAGCCTGATAATGTCTGTACCTGGGCTCACATTTGCAGCTGATTTTTAGATGAGGAAAGAAAAATACCTTCAGAGTTACAGAAGCAAATGAAGGTGGGGATGTCCCATGGTCATCTCACCTGCTTCTTGGCTGGAGTAGCGATCTCGGTGCAAGTCCTTGCTCCCTAATGAAACTATGGAGCTCAGCTTACACTGCAGCACAGACCTGAGGCTGGGCTATCCTACAGCAGCCCTATCTGAAAGCAAAAGAGTGGATTCTCCACCACCTGTCCACCTCAGCCTTGTCTGAGGCCTGGAGATGGGGGGAAAGAACAGGCCTCTGACTTCAAGGATCCCACTCTATAGCTGAAGAGACAGAGGTGTCAACATGTAAATGTGAAGTCATATAAATGCCTTGACTGCCCGGTGAAGACAATGGAAAACCCAAACTCCTTCACTGGGCAGTCAACACTTTCTACAATCTGGCTTCCCAGATTTTTCAACCCACTTTTTTAACCCAGCCACTTGTTCTTTCCTCCACATACAATCTGCTACACCTGGTTGAACTGCTTGCCATCCCTCAGCAAACTTCGCCTTTGCTCATGTGCCATTCTCTCCTCTGTCATAGCTCTGTTCCCATTCCCTTCCATCTCTCATTTGTAAATCACTGCACAGAACAAGCTTAATGTGTGCCTTTTACAAGGGGTTGCCAGAGCCACGCAGAGAGCCTCAGCACTGAGCCCTCCTTCCCCAGGTTTCCCTGAGACAGACCGAGAGACAGCCTAAGGCTGCAGACCCATGTCCTCTTGCTGCCTCATGGATTGGCTGAGCATGAAGGCTGAGGCTCAGTGACACCTACAAAAGCCTGCTCATTGAACCATGACAGAACTGCGCAGAGCAGATAGGAGAGGCATCCAGGTCAGCAGTAGAGCTGGGAAGAGGTGCCAACTGCCAGTGCAGGGTTCTGTCCCCTTCCGTTGATGCTCTGACCATCCCCATGTGCCTGGTAGTGGGGTAAACTTTGGGAATTAGATTGGTTTCTCTTGCTAATCAGTGATCTTGTTTGCCAGAACTGACAGAATATTCCATTTGGGTTGACTCAAATTGTTGTTAAAAGCTCTATGGAATGCCTCAAATGCTCTTTAGGTCTCTGGATAGAAGTGATGCTAGGCCTAGCTGGAACTAGAGCACAGCCTCCCAGCTATCTCCCAGAGTCTGTCTTGAAGCAGCAGACAAAGCAGTATAGAGGCTGTCAAAGGGTATAGCTAAGAAGGTGCCATCTTTCTACCCCTCACATTAACCCTTTGTTCTGCTGCTCATGAGTAATTTTGCCTCAGTATCCCCAAATATCTGAATCAGGGGATACAGAATTGCATTAGACACATTTTAAATCCTGAAATACCCTTGTAACCTGAAATGGAAACTATGAGAAGTAATTAGTTATTCTGACATCAATATTCCAATGTCCAATTTTCTCATTAAAACCAGAGAATGGACAATTTTAAAGAGATTATTTCCCTCAAAAGATGGTAATCTGCAGTTTAATATTACACTATCATTTCTTGAAGTCAGTGGTTACAACAGCTGCTCGGAGAAGTTATTAATTTCCTGCAGTAGGCTGTGATTGGGAACTCACTGTCCAGAATGTCATTATTTTTTTAAGATGTACATTCTGCACAGACCTATTGGCTAGAAATTCAAGCGCGTTGTAAATGGTAGTGCTTTGTGACAGGCGATGTTGAAGAGGAGTGATTTAGTAGGGCTAGATTTTCTGGCATTGCAGAAACACATGGAAATCGATCAGAGCTCAAGTTGAAGTGCGCACAGTAAAATGCATAATGCGTTCTAGGTCCAGTATTAGCCTGGTCTCCTTCTTTGCTAACTTTGTTCTATTATACCTGGAAGGTGATAGACATGAGAGTTAGGGGCACATTGAGTGTCTGCATCCTACTAATCTACTCCAAGGGTAGCCCCTATTTTTTTGTCTCAGTGAGGCAGGATAATTTAGCCTTGGCAATGTTGACATTTGGGGCCAGACTATATTTTATTATGGAGGGCTGTTCTGTGTGGTCACATGCAGCATCCCTGGCCTCTATTTGCTAAATGACACTAGCACATTCTGATTGTGACAACCAAAAATATCTCCAGACTTTACTGAATATTCCCTAGGGGCTGGGGGGTAGGGTCAAAATTGCCCCTCTTTGAGAACAGCTGCAGTACGGCAGACCTGTGTCTATTTAACCAGAGCTCCTTCCAGAGACAGGGGATGGGCCAGTGACTTCCCACCTGTGTTCCAGCTCTAACATCCAAAGTGGCTAAAGTACATGCATTTCATTGTTTATTCATTTCAGTTCCAAGCTGATTTCCAAATAAAAAAATGAAAAATTGCTCTATGCCTTTCCTTTTGGCAATTCACACTGAGTAATGGACAATTTTTAAACTTCCTAATAACTTATGGGAACAAGAATATGTACAAAACTTCATTCCTACAGAGTGACTATTTGGCCTTAATAGGATAATGTTTAACAATCTGCCTGAAAGTGTGCTGTTAAGTAGTGAAACAGATACTGGGACACAATTACCTTTGACATGGCTATAAAATAAGCCATTGAAACCATTTTCTCTGGATACCTTTACCCTGATATTTAATTCTTCCATCCCTTCCAACTCCACACAGTACCCCTGAGCCTGAAAAGAAAAAGTTCAATCAAAAGCCATTCCCTCAACAGAAAAGCATCTAGGTATTCCCTCACCATGACCTTAACCATGATTCTCTTTTGCCTCCCACTGAGCTCTAAATGAACTGTCTGAATATGAACTTCAGATTTGGACAGACCCGGTTTCTAGTTTAACAGCTCTGCCATTCATAAGGGGTGTGTCTTTCAGCAAGACACTTCTAGGTCTCAGTTTCCTTCTCTCTAAATTGGGTTGGCAATGCCTACTTCCCAGAGGAATTAATAAAATGATAAATGAAGGAACACCAAGCATGTGTCTGGTACACACATAGACACAGACACAGACACAGACACACACACACACACACACACACACACACGCTCAATGTTTGTCTTATTCAAGGGGTGGTCAGACCAGTATAGTATAGACCATGTCTATGGGGCCTTTCCTTCAGTGTGTCTAGCCAAGTTTTTTGGGATGCCAGTGCCCACCTTTTTACCACGCTACTTTACTTAGTCTGTGCTTAGACACTTTCACCCCAGGGCTTCATTTAGAAGAACAAGATTGTCTAGTTGGGTCCCCCTTGAGGTAATCCCAAATAGGTGGAGGAAGCGTTCTGGGCCATGTGAGGCCTTACCTGCCGGGTGGCCAGGTTAAGTGGACATTTAGAGGCTAGTGTTTATTTTGTGGACAATGGTAATGCTTAGGAAGCTAAGGCCAAAAGCTTCCCTGTGTGAAAATGGCCAAAATGTTGCTCACTTTTAGCCTCCTTTGCCATATAATGGCCTTTAACATCTCCATAAATATTTTCACAAGGTGATGCAGTTTAGGAGAAAGCCTACTGTGTTAGGAGCCTAAAGATTCTTTCCAGTCCCTTACCAGCTATGTGTCCCTGAGCGAGTGACTTAATCTCAATGATTCTAAGCTTCTCTATCATTCTGTTCCGATGATACCCACAGGGTGAGCAGGAAAGATAAATTATTTTCTTTCCTGTTCACCCTGTGGGTGTCATCGAAACAGAAATAGCTACTGCACAAAGAAAGTACTTTAAAAATTACAAATTAATAGATATAAGTGTAGTTGTTTTTATGAACATAACACATAGATAAACTGAATAAATTCAGTTGTTAAATGTGTTCAAAATTGTATTGAATTTGAATTTTATAAATCTCCCAGAAATGGATAAAAAGGCCTTAAATACCAATCTTCCAAGAATTCACAAAACAAAATATCCTATGCTTTTTCCAAAAATAGAAAAAATAAACTTCCCACCCTGTTTAATCTGTTTTTAAAAGCAGATTCAATAGAAAATGAAAAAAGTATATTTCCATCCATGCAGCCCTAGAGACAGAACAAGACTATAGGATCAAGGAGAAAATTTAAGTCTTTATCTCTATAGAGATGAAACTCACCATACCAATAGAATATCCAGTTTTACTCCTTCCATTCCTTCAAGGACCAAAATAATAATCTATCAGCATAGAAAGCTAAGGATTCTTCATAGAAATCTGTGTGCTCATTCCTGGGCTAGGCTATGCTGTAAGCCACACTCTGGACAAGACAACCAAGAGCCCAGTGTTCATAATATATGGGCTGATGGGCGCAGGGACTATTTCAAGTGCATCCCAAGATGCAACAATAGATGGCTACTTTGGCCAAATAAACCCTGACCAGAGGAAGAAAAAAACTGGGGAGACAAGTAACAAGCCGAAAATGAAAACGTTTAATAGATGACCAAGATGTTCAGTTCTAGGGGTTGCAGGGCCTATAAAAGGTCCTTCCCCACATTCTAGTTGCTGGGAAAGGCTCAAGAGGTATCTGTCTTACAGCCTTTAGGAGATTTGAGAGAGACCACGTTCATAACGGCACTCTGTAAACTTCTTTAAAAATGTCATTTGTTATTATTCATATAAACTGCATTTTAAATGATTAATTAGGCAAAGTATATTTAGGCTTGAAAGTCATTCTCAACCACATAAGCATTTTTCAGGTGTTCTCCGTGCAGTATGTGGAGTATGCCCAGGAAGGCCGCGCCACACACTTCCTGTGCTCACTCCCATCTTAGCCTGTTTAGCCTGTAGTAACCCTGTACACAAAGATGCAGTCAGAAATCCACTGTTAGATCGGAGTGAATGGCCAAGTTGATTGGTTTATGGGCTGCATACGCTTGCTACCAGAACCTAACTGAATAGTTAACTAGCTTCCCTTGGCCTAGTATCCATCTAGAGGAGAACCAGCAGAGATTTTTTTTTTTTTTTTTTTTTGAGACGGAGTCTTGCTCTGTCACCCAGGCTGGAGTGCAATGGCGCCATCTCGGCTCACTGCAAGCTCCGCCTCCCAGGTTCACGCCATTCTCCTGCCTCAGCCTCCCGGGTAGCTGGGACTGCAGGCGCCCACCACCACACCTGGCTATTTTTTTTTTGTTTTGTATTTTTAGTAGAGACGGGGTTTCATCGTGTTAGCCAGGATGGTCTCGATCTCCTGACCTCGTGATCCACCTGCCTCAGCCTCCCAAAGTGCTGGGATTACAGGCATGAGCCACCGCACCCAGCCACCAGCAGAGACTTTTAACTTGGGACACTATGAAGACGACAAAAGCACTGAGAAGAACTGAGCCCTCGTCCTACGTGAGACTGGGCATAACTCAGAAATTTGAATGGTCGTGATATGTGCACTTGATTTCAAGTAAAACACCAGGAATTTTAATACAAGGTTTGAAATCCTGCTTATTTTAATTGTTGAGGGAGCCCCTAGCTAGAGTCGGAGGTACTAGAACATGTCTGTTTTGGATTTCCCTTACTTGTCTTAGGTTCTGTTCTCCATCTGCCATCTTACTTTATTATTTCCTTGTTATTATACACAGAAAATCTTAAGCTTTTACCCATGGAATTACCTTTCTTCCCTACGAACTGTCTTTATAGATTGATTTACGTAGAGATGTGCTTCCTTCAAACAGTTCTATACAAAGTCACTGTTCTCTTTTTCCAGTTAGCCTCAGAATGGCTTCTTTTTATTTACATAGTTCTACAACTTCCTCTCAAAGCTCAGCAGTTTGCCCCATAACTTGGGACTTTCTCTCTCTCTGTCTCTCTCTCTCTCTTCTATTCCTTACTCTCTCTCTTTTTCTCTTCCATTCCTTACTCTTTCTTTTTTAAATTTGGTGAACAGTTTTAAGATGCAGAAAATGTCAATCATCCAAGTATTCAGTAATCAGAATTAATCAGTGTTAATCCTATAATTGCTTTTGAGATTTTTTTAATAAAAGAAAAATAGTAAGTTACATGAAAACTTAAATTTATACCTTTCTAACCAACTCTAAAATTAATATCTCATTCTCTTCCCAAATAAGACAAGAACCTTGGAAAGCTTTAATTTCCCTCTCAATTTCCTCCTCTCATCCTCTGTGTTTTGATTGCCTTGTAATTAAATCACACTCTGACGTTAACTTCCCCAAATATTTTTGATATTTGTGGTCGATATGATTTTGACATACCACCATATTTTACCATCATCTTTTCTCATATTACTTCTTGTTGGATCTCATTCCTTCTGGGTTTATTTTTCTTCTTGTGTTAAGTACATGATTTAGTATTCCTTTCAGAAAAAATTTGTTAGTAGTAAACTTGGTCTTTATTTCAGGGGTTCCTGTTTAACCATTTAATTCCTTTTCACTTTCACGTGTGTGAGGTCAGCTCACATGCCTGGCCCCAGCACAGTCTGGGCACATTTCCGAGTGCTTTTCTGTGAGCCCCAAAGTTGAAGTAGTACTCATCAAAGACCATTGATGATTAACTATCCCTGTGGCTACTTCTTCAAGTTTTGTCTTAAGGATTTATTGCTTAATTAGAATTAGATCTCCTTTGATTCCAATAACAGGTTAGGCAATATATTTAAAAAGGAATAAAATCACATTATATTACCAAAAGAGCCCCAATAAGTGTCGAAGTATCTCAGTGAGGTTCTCAGACCTCCCCTGGGTTTCTGCCCCTAAAAGGCTAGCCCAGGACATTCTGCTCCTCCTGCATCTCCACTGCCCTCATCTCTCTCCCTCCTGTTACTGCTCGCTTCTGGACAACTCCCTGTCCCGAGGGATGCTGATCATTTGGGTTAGTTTGTCTCTTCCTTCTGCTGTCCTTGGAAAGCCTCTTCCCTCTGCTAGAAGTTGCAGGGATCAATTGTTCTTTGGCAGAGGAAGAGACTTGATGACAATGAAGAGAGTTTCCATTTCTTCTTCCTGCAGCTGCTGACCTGGGTGAGCAAGCCAGACTGTGCGCTGACTTACAGGAGAGGAAGGAGCCTGTAAGCCCTGGAAACTCAATAGAATAACTCCCCCAATCACCTGAGTCAAAAAAGACAGAGGCCAGGGATGCCTTCTTCCGAGCAGGTCCACCTGATGGAAAAAGACAAAGTGTCTTCCCACATGTATGGATGTTATACAGCACAATTCTATATGTCTATATATGAGTGTGGAGATGTTAGCCCATTTACTAATAAGCCAATCAATCTGTAAATTTTTCAGGGAGAGCTGATGACATGTAGAGGAAAGTGTAACTCTTAATTAAAACTTCAGTAAATTTGAAAGGAAGAAAATATAAGCTGTTTATTAATTTTATTGCCAACAATTTTGTTTTCCTATTTATCAAAATTTTTCACGTTTCCCCCAAGCATTTAAGAAGAAATTGAAGAGTGTTGCAAGATGTCTTCTTTCCTAGGTACTTTGTTGATTGTTCTTTCTTTCAAACAGTAACTGTAGTCCCAGCTGAGGCAAATTAAAATGAAATTTTCCGGACATGTGCTGTGACAGACAAGAAATTCAGTTAGAGTGAGTCTCCTGTGAAGGGAGAGGTTGTCACGTCACCTCTTTCTTGATTCCCAAGTACTTCTTTCTGCCTCTTCTCTTCTCACTGTGTTTTTTTCCAGAACATTCTGGATAAAAGGTATGGGAGAGTATGTGACCCAGTGTACTTTCAATTAAGTGGTGAAGTACAAACAATGAGAGGTGCCTCCAGCAGCTCCCTGGACTCCTTCTCCCCAAGGGGAAAAGGTGGGTAAGACTAATACGGAAAACTGGAAAGGAAAGAAAATCTTAAACATAAGTATCACTTCTCAATTGCAGTTAATTTTCTTTTTCCCACTTCTCTCTCATAAACACATACATATTCACTTAAAGCAGTCTTATATTTCAGAAGTGAAGATTTTTTTTAAGAAGCAGAGCTTAAAAATGTAAAATTCAGTTACCTCTGTCCTGACTGTTGTGCAGCTATTGGTGAGTCATTGTTCTAAAAAATAAAAAAAAAAGAGGGTGAGAATCTCAATGATTAATGAAATATTTCAAGACTGGCACGGGGCCTCACCCAGATGCTAATAAAATTTTCCACCTACGTCTTGGTTTTAGAATGAAAACAGTAGAGAAAGATGAAAAAATCCAATGCATGCAGATTTTTTAAAGCTCACTGCTTTTGAACATATTAAGGGTCTATGTAGTCATTATGGTGATTGCCATTATTCATTTGACTATTTTTCAATTATTAAATCAAACTTTTCTTTTTGAACTTGGATTTGACCTCCTTACTCACTTACTCATTTACTCCTAAATCACAAAACACCACTGCCCTTGGAAATATCCTGTCTCTGCAACTGGACCTCTCTCATGGGCTCCAGGCATGGCAAGGTTCTCTAGATCGTAGTTACAACTTCAATTTCTTATTGTGAGTGAGATACCAAATTACATAGACCTTATAGAGGAGGAGTTGCCTTCACTGTGTGGCAATAAGAATCCTAGAGACTATGCTTACTTCCCAGCTGGTGATCAGACATTTGAACAAGGTGGCAGAGATGGACTTTCCAACCATCTCACGTTCTCTTTTGGTCCCCTACTCCTGTCTTCCTACTACACCCATCCTAACCCCCAAACAATATGTTCCTGTTTCTTATTTTCCTGGGGAAACCAATGCTTCTCTACAAATCAACAAATTCTCTTTTGCCTTTAACAGAAATTTACTTCATCTGTACAATAAAAATCTACTCTTCCATTTTTCCTGAGCAGGGAACTAGTTCAATTACATCTCTCATATTCCCTTGTGCTAGAAGTGACCATGTGACTAAGCCCCAGCCAATAAAAGTATGAGTGCCACTTCCAGCTGTGGCCCATTAAAACCTCTCATTTTTCTTCCTCCATGCCTTTTAATCTTTAAAGCTAATTGGAGTCACCACATCCGCCCCACCATGGTAACTTTGTAAGCACCACGTTGACGGTTGCAGAGCTGCTATCATCCTAAAGTTCTTGAAAGACCCCATGGAGCAGAGTCACTTTCCTCACCACTGACATACCTGAAACCATTAACTTATTTAGAAATAAACTCCTATCATATTGAATGATACATATATAAACTTTTTTTGTTACTTTAGCCTAGTCTACGTAAAAAGATTTATGTATGCTTTAGAGCTTCCTTCAGATAAATGTGTTTATTATTATTATTTCATCTGAAAGCTTTTCAGATACACTAAAGCTAATACTAGCTATCTAGTGGTAGGCTCTGATAGTTGGTAAAAGAGACACCCTGGGCTTGACAGTTTGTGCCCATCAAGAAGCAAGTAAAATACCAACCACACAGATAGCACATCTAGTGTTCAATTCACAGCAACTCATAACTTCCATTCATGATTGAATCAGCTGAAAATTAGGAGAGTTCACTAATTTGCTTCAACTGAGCCATCGGAATGGCATATGGCAGTTGCTTTTCAATGGCTAGTTATTCAGCTTCAAGGGAATATTCCAGAGAAGTATTAAGTGAAAGCCCAATATCCAAATCATTTATCATGGATCGGTTCTTGCCGAAGTATTGAGAGGAATTCTGCAGCTTTTCTAGGGCAAGTGTGCCTGACAACCCACCAAAACACCCTCAGAGAGACCTGGGGATGGAACCTTGTGGGAACAGCCTTGTCATTTAGAAGGAACCTAAGTTTCAAAGCCAGACAAATGTTGCTTCACTCATGCTATCAGTCAGTTAGTGAAGGCATCTTGATTAACCTTGGCATAAGCAGAAGGAGAATTCACTGACTTCTGCAAATGTAGATTGAATCCAGGGTCTGTGCTGGCTTCAGGTGTGTCTTGATACAGGAATGTACTGCCAGTGTTTTGTAGGTCTTGTCTGGTGATGGGGCCTTATTTGAAAACATCATTCTCTAATTCCCTTTATGAGGGGCAGGGTTCATGGTTCTGGTGTCCAGGAACCTGGGCACAGCACCAGTGTGTGCCCTTATGCCCAGAGATATAAGAGAGGCACCTCTGATGGTGTTGGGAGCACTGTCCTGTGGGTTTCCTGCCAGGTTACAGACATATTCAGAACTGGATCACCACATTCAAATGGGGACAGTGAAATATAAATGCCAATACACCAGGGCAAATAAGCAAGGAATTGAGGGGAGCTCATGAGGAGACCAAGAGAGTTGGGTGGGAAGGTAAAGTCAAGAAGGATGAGGTTCCTGAGGGTGCTAAGCCAGGTCCTGGGAAATTGCTGCAGAACTAGAGTTTGTTTTACGCTTTCTCATAGAGAGATAACTTTTTTTAAGGTAGTAACCATTTGTCTGACAAACTTCATTGGATTGAAGAATTTCATTTTACTCTTGTTAGTGCAAGATCAAATTTAATCAAGCCACCTCTTCCTTTCTCCTTTCCCCTTCCTATTTCTCTCCTTTTCTCCTTTCCTTTCTTTTTGCCCCTCTTTTATTTCCTTCCTTCCTTCCGCCCTCCCTCCCTCCCTTATTCCTTTCTTTCTTTCATTTTTAACCTCTTCCTTCCTTACATTCTCCTTCCCTCCCCCTCCCTTTTTTCCTTCCTCTCTTTTCTCCTTCCTTCCTTCCTTCTTTCCTTCCTTCCTTCCTCCCCTTCCCCTTGCCTCCTTTATTGAGCTCAAACTATATAATAGGCATTACATGCAAAGTGCTGTGGTTAAAGAATAAAAAAGACTCACTCCCTGTCCCCAAGGGGTTCACAGTCTCATGGGGAAGAGGACATGAAAGTAGACAGACAATAATACAGTACGGTAAGTTGCGAGGAACAGGGTGGGCAGGAAGGAAAGAGAAAAGATATCTAGATCCGACTTCAGGCAAGTCTTTCTATTCTTTACTCATGTCTCTCCATTTTCAATATCAGCCTCCCTCTGGTTCTGGGTGTTCTGTAACTCTGACATGGACCAGAAAAAAATGAGAATCCTGAAATTAATATAGCCCTTATGGAAACCTCCACTTAAAAAAAAAAAAAAAAACTTTAAAGAATCCAGCCCCTGAAATGTTTTGCACTAGAACCCGAACCCCTGCTCAGCTCCTTGGAAGAGGGTGGCTCTCCCACTCAGAATCGTGTCTGTTTGAGTTTGGTAACACAGAGCCAAGGTCAGTCTGGTGTTTCTCACTTTACAAATTCTCATCTGTCAAGAGATGCTGAAGGCACCACTCAAACTCAATTGTACCCTAAGGCCATCAACATTTAAAAGCTAGCCATTGTTTACCAAGTTCTGTCAACCAGAATGGGGGTATTTCTTGCATTTATTTGTTTGAAGAAAAAGTTACTTTGCTCTCCCTGCCACCTACCCAGCAAAAAAAGGAGAAAGTGTTTAAACAAACACATTTAGCAAAATAGTCCTGTTCCTTTGGTTGAGGGAGGGCATGCTCTCTACATCACGGTACATAAAATTGAGTTTGTCAATAGAATGAATAAACTACAAACATGGATAGCTGCTTTAGCCTAACACATATGCTTTAAAACCGTCTTTGCAAATAGTCTATAACGACTTTAAGCTGTTTAAATGATGCTTTTTAAATTATAAAATAATTTCTCTAAGGTATTTTATCTTCCATAATCCTTACCACAACCCTGTGAGATGAATATAATTATTTGCATTTTGCTGGTAATAAATATGGTGTTCAGAGGTTCTTAAAAACTGTCCATGGTTACATACTGAGAAAATCAGTTGAATGAGATTGAATTTAAGGTAGTTTAACTCCATGCATTTTATGCTAATCCAGTCGTTTAGTTACAATCCCTTTTTCCCGAACGTTTAGACAGACAGGGACATCTGGAGAGGCAGTATGAGTGTAAGGACAAAAGGGTCAAATGCAGATGGGGGACACTTGGAGTCTCAACTTTCCTCCATGCTCACTCACGTGTGGCCTTTGTAACTGAGTTGTCCAAAAATAAGATACACTTTGATTAGAATTGCAGTGCACAGCATAGTCTGCATATAACTGTATTAGTCCCCTTTCACACTGCTATAAAGAACTACCTGAGAGTAGGTAATTTAGGAAGAAAAGAGGTTTAATTGACTCATAGTTCCCCAAGGCCGGGAGGCCTCAGGACACTTACTTACAATCATGGCAGAAGGTGATGGGGAAGCAAGGCACATCTTTCGTGACAGCAGGAGAGAGAGAGAGCGCATGAAGGGGGAACTGCCAAACACTTTTAAACCATCAGATCTTCTGAGAACTCATGGTCATGAGAAAAGCAAGGGGGAAACTCCCCCCATGATCAATTCACCTCTCACCAGGTCTCTCCTTCAACATGTGGGGATTACAATTCAATACGAAATTTGGGTGGGGACACAGAGCCAAACCTTATCAATAACCAATGCAAGTATCACCACAAAGAAGAAAACTGAACCATCAGAAAACACAGGAAGGATAGCACAGCAAAGACCAGCTTTGATTTCTAAAGATGATGAGGGCACACTGTTAGGTGCCAGTTTCCAAAGGGCTCCAGCCAGCTTCTCCTACATATTCCATAGAATGCAGGAATATATATATATATATATATATGTATTTTTTTTTTTTTACTATTTGGAATATAGACACCCTTCATGGAAGCCCCCAAACCTCCACCCTCCAACTCTCTGCATGCAGTTCTGCATCTTAAAGTAAAAACAGAAATGTTAAAACCTCAACAGATTATTTTAATTTGGGTTTCTGAAACTCAGCACTATTGACATTTGGGGACTGGATAATTCTTTGTTGTGGAGGCTGACCTGCTGACCTGTGCATTGTAGGATGTTTGGCATCCCTGGCTTCTACCCACTAGATTCCAGTAGTACCTCCAATTGTGACAACCAAAAATGTCTCCAGATATCACCAAATGTTCCCCTGGGTGAAAATCTCCCCCTGTTGAGAACTACTGCTTTAATGATTCTCAAAAAGGACATTTCTTTGCTTCTCTTAATGATCTGGAAGATATTAAAAGCATCACCTACTTTAGCCTTTGTTCAGGAGGCAGATTTTTTATTCTTTACAGCTTTCATGGGCTCCCTTTCCTCTTTTAGAATAATCAATAAATAGTTAAATGATTTAATGGTTAGAGAATGTCAAGGTTGTTTTCATCTGCAACCCTCGAGAAAATATGTTATGACCATAGACTATGAGGCAGACATATATGAATGTGAATCCTCATATTGTAATTGTGTGATCTTGAAATTAACCTCCCTAGATATCCATAACCTTATCTAACCCTATCAAGAGCTGTTGCAAGAATTAAATGAAGCCATATGCATATAGGCACATATAGGATTGCTAGACTTAGCAAATGAAAATATAGGAACTCCATTAAATTTGAATTTAAGATAAATAACATATATATGTATGTGTGTATATATATAATTATATCTCATGCAATATTTAGTAACCTTAGTCATATATTAGTATTCAGTATTACGTATTATTACTGTGAACCTAAAACTAAAAAATGTCAGTTGAGAAAACCATAGGCCGTTCCTCTTTAAAACAAATGTATGTTTAAACCAGCTAGGACAAAGGGCCATTTGAGATCTTCCTAAAGAGGCAGTAATAAATACTTCAAATATTTACAGGCTGTTATTCTTTGTTTGATTTTCTTCTCATTATTCAGAAGTTCTACTGTTCAACTAACATAGCTTTTACTTTATTTTGTCTCTTCATTATTGCACACCTCCATATGGATAAATAATCAGGAAACAACCTTTCAAATAATTTGAGATATTAATAAATTAAAGTTCAGGTAGGGAGTCAAAAAGAGTGGTGCTAAAATCCTCATCTGTCACTTACTGACAGGATGAGCTCACAAGAGTTTCATCACCTCTCTGATCTCAGTTTCCTCATCAGTGGAATAATATTACCTACTCAACACAGCTGCTGGAAGGGTAGAATAAGGTCATGTGTTTAAAAAGAAGTTAGTAAATAATACATGTGAGCTAGCTTCCTTTCCTTCTTTGCTTTCCTTTCCTTCCTTTGCCCACCCTAAGTTAAATAACTTTGATTTTGCTAACCTTTTTTTTTTAAAGACATAGTTGGCTACAAATAAAGGATAGAATAAGTGGAAAATCATAACTTCCTAGTTAAAAAATAATTAGGGGGACTTGACAGCTTGTTAATCAATTTTCCAACAAAAGAATGTGGGCTTTGGAGTCTGTCAGATCTGGTTTAAATCTTGTTTCATCCACTTACTAACTGGTTAGCCTTTGGCAATTTGTTAAGCTTTTCTAAGCTTATTTTATTCTTTGATGATATCCACAAAATATTTCCTTTTTTAACTTTTATTTTAAGTTCAGGGGTACATATGCAGGTTTGTTACACAGGTAAACTTGTGTCATGTGGGTTTTTTGTACAGGTAATTTCAACACCCAGGTATTAAGCCTAGTACCCATTAGTTATTTTTCCTGATCTTCTCTCTCACCCCACCCTCCACCCTCTGATAGGACCCATTTTGTGTTGTTCTCCTCTATGTGTCCATGTGTTCTCATCATTTACCTCCCACTTACAAATGAGAACATGTAGTATTTTGTCTTCTGTTCCTGCGTTAGTTTGCTAAGGATAATGGCCTCCAGCTCCATCCGTGTCCCTGCAGAAGACATGATCTCATTGTTTTATATGGCTGCATAGTATTCAATGGTGTGTACGTTATTACATTTTCTCTCTGCAGTCCATGATTGCTGTGAGAATCAAATAGCTCATATGTATAAAGATTCTTTGCAAGCTGTAAATCAGTATTAAATGTTTTTCAGGAATACAACTTTTTTTGTAAAAGTAAAAGAGATTTTCTCTCTGACTTCAGGAAATCACATCAACCAGTGAAGTTCCAGTTTGAATGTTAGCTGGGAAGCACAATTGTAGAACAGACTTAGTTGCCTACGTAATACCCATTCTCCCCTTCTATTTTAAAAACACCCCCCTGACTTTATTCAGTGCAGCAAAGGGCAGAGATAAAATATGAAATTTCTCAGCCTCCTTTGCAGCTATTAGGGGTCAATGATCTATAAAACGCAAGTCAAGGCAGTAGAGGTGTGGGCAGAGCTTCCCCAAAAGCTCTAAGACTGACTCAACTGAACTCCTTCTTCCTTCCTGCTACCTGAAATGTGTATGGAGTGGTCAGGCCGCAGCTCATATCTTATGACATGAAGTAAACTTGAGGATGGAAGAAGCTACGTATGAAAGAAGTAGAAAATTTAAACAGAGTTAGGCTAAATTTCTGATAACCTCGGAGCTATCATACTGACCCCAAACTAATTACTTTTTCTGTGTAATAGATAAACAAAATATGTATATCCTTAGAGCTTCTGAAACTTTGTTGTTAAGTGCGGCCAAACATATTTTTAAACAATCCACTAAGAAAAGTATTGTTATATGCAATGTCAATCAAAGACCCTAGAAAGAAATACTTTGCTGCTTCAAAGCAGATGCTACAAACCAAAACTTATACCTGACTTCATATGTCTCATATAGCAACTATTTTCCATCTTTCTGTTCATATTTGTTTCTCATCTCTGAATAATAGCTGTTCTTCATGTAAGTGCCAGGCCATACCTGAATCTGTTGCTTGTATCTAAAGAATGCATGAGGTAGATGAAACGTTCTCCCTCACGGGCTATATATGACATGCCACTTGGAACACATCCCAGTGAGTGTGTAGCAATGCTTCACTGTGACGTTGTGAACTCCCAGATAGATTGTGGTTCACCACGCTTTCTGGGAACAACTTAAGTAATCCTTCCCCTTCATCTTTGGGTAGTTTGTCCAAAACTGATCATCATAAATTTGTGTCTATTAAATTTCTTGTGTTGTATGCATGTGGAATATTAATTCATATAGTCAAATTTTTAAATTTTTCTGAGTTTTGTAGAAAACCATTACCATAGTAGTGATATCATCTACAAATCTTGTTTCATATTTCTAGCTTGTTAACAAGCATTTATTAATCCAAAGTGCTCTTTCTGTGCTTTTGTATAATCATAAAAGCATTTAGTGGTCAGCCTTAAAAAAAAAACTAATTTTAGGAACTAGCCAAAATTAGATGAAATTGCTTATATAAATCTAATAGTCTCCTTTTGTTTTTCTCCCTATTCTAGGAAATGTTTTACTATCCCATTATTAGATAAAGCAGAGAACCATGGACTATAGCATAAAACTCTTTAATCATACTATTATAAGAAAATAGCCATCGCCACTGACTATCTGTGAACCAAGCACTGTGTTACGTGCTTTGCAAATGTGAGCTCAATTAACTATCCACAGCACAACTCTTGATTTCTATCAATTTCCTCCATTTACAAAAGAAACTAAAACTTACAAAATTTAAATAACTTTCCCATGATTTCAGAGTAAGCTGTATGTGCTTAGGGGGTTGGGCATGGGACCGGGGTAAAAGTCAGAATTCAAACCCAGGCTTGATTCCAAAACCTATCATCTTTCTGTTAGGTTCTACAACATCTCAACCTCTATTACCCTAATTTCATGGTGCATGCTGTAAAAACAAGCAAGAACATTGTTTGGCCTCAACTTCCTCCCCACAAAACCCTCAGCCATACTTTTTGTTCACATAGGAAACTGAATAAAGGAAAACATGGACAACCTCAAATGCAGAAACATGACATATTTTCTCATGAGGACAGCGTGGCCCAGGAGAAAGAGGTGAGTTAGGATTCAGAGCATGTTCAGATTCCCCTATGAGGGATCCCATTCTCTAAACTTGGAGAAGCCACTTTCCTTTACTGAGGCTTTGTTTCCTCATCAGAGAGGAGTCAAAGGTTAGACAAAGTAACATCTTTTGTTTCGGAAATCCATGGAGTTTGCAGCCAGGATATGGGGGAATGTTCTGGATGAGAGGTAACCATGAAGGCATGGATTCTTTTGCATGGTTTTCAATCTGTAGGATATTCCTTTTTCTTTCCATTCAACGCTTTGCAGAGTGTTAAAAAGCAAGGAGTTCTAAATTTGAGGCAAACACAGTATTTTTCTCTTATATTTTTATAATGCTTAACAATTAACAGAGTATTGTCATGTGTATTATCCTCATAGCAACTGCTGTAAATAGTGATATCATTATGTTCTAGTTTTGCAGAGGAGAAATTCATCCTCCAAGAGAACACTCACTTTAAAATTACAAAAGCAATCTTTGGGGGTGCTAGATTTGGACCCAGTTGTGTTCTTTGAAAATTCTCCTTCCACACAACACTAACCTCATTATTTCTGTAATCTGAGAACAAGAAACACAAACCCACTACTGCTATTAGGACCAAAGTTTCATTTCTATACTCAGGTGGGTATTTGGAAACAGTGGTTCACAATAACAATTTCTGCAATGTGAAGAAACCAGCATTACTGCTCATCTGTAAAAATTTTTTAAAGTATATCTCTTCTGGAAATTCAACACTTTTTTCTCTCTCTCTCAATGTATGCATATATGTATGTAGATATGACATCATTTGTAGGAGTGTGCAGTTTTGTTGTCTTTATTTATTCATATGATATTTTTCCCATTTATTCCTCTCACTGAGCACCTCCCAATGGCTAGACCCTGTGCTAGGTATGGGGCATACAGAGATAGACGAAGTATCTCTGACACCACTGCCTTGTCCACATGTGAGCAACGTGGGGTATTCATGTGTGCACTGAATGCTAACACAAGGAAGGAGGTATCCGTTACAGAATAATAGAAGCAAAATGTGGTGGGAGCGTAGAACACAGATTGATTTTTTAACTCTTTCTTTGGAATATAAAAGTCCCACCAACACAAGAGAGGCTAGTCTTACCAGTAGATGGTCAGGGTTGGGATATTTCCCTCCCCTCAAATATCGATTCCCACTTCGACATCATGGTGACTGAAATGATAGCATCCATTGCACATCACGAAGAAAGGATTTCTGAAGACATCCCAGAATAGAATAAAGAAGTAATTAGTCTGGGCCCTCAATATCTTCTTGCTTTAGGTGTGGGGGTGCAAAAAGTCCCTCATCAGCTTCTTTGATGCTGGCCCATTACTGGCTGCTCTCTCAAGAATCTACTGGTGCTCCTGACTCTGTAGGTGGACAGAGAAAATTTTAGCTATTAAATGTTACATAACTAACACTTACATAATTAAATATTACGAATCTTACCAGTAAAAGCTTCTTCCCAGCATCCTTTATGAATGTGCACAGCCAAGTTCACTAAAGATATTGAGACTGTGGCCCCTCTCTCAACACCCCCCATCTGCCTGCCCCATCATTCCCTCGATGCTAGCACATACTCCTCCCCCTTTACCCACATCTTCAGCCCCACTCTGAGACCTAACCCAAGACCCAGCTTCTTCATGTGGTCTTTCCTATAGCAGTTCCAGAATCACCTTTTTCGCTCTCCCCTGTTTATATTGTCATTTGCTAATTATCTTTTTAAAATTATGCCATAATTTCTCTTGTTTTAAAATGACCGGCTTCCTCGACTACATTTTTGTGTTCTTTGAAGGAAGTTATATACTTTCAAGAACCGTGCATAATAGCAGTTTTATTTGGCTTTACTGAAGTGACACATACTTAGCAATTTTATCCATTTGAATGAGGGAATAACAAATTGCAATGTTTGCAAGCTGAGCAGGGCTTTTCAAAGACCATATTTTAAGAGGCCCATGCCACACTATATCAGACATACTAAAACGTATTCACATCTCAATTAAATATTATTTACATATGCATATTTGTGGATTTCTCTACATATACACATACATATGCATATATGTATGTATACAAATATATATGTGTATATATATCTCTATATGAAGTGAATTCTAATTTGCTAGTTAAAATAATGTTCTGTTTCATACCTGTTTGACCATATTGATGTCAATTTTCCAATTTTTCTTTTTTACTTTAGAGCCAATGCTGCTTTTGGGGCATCATTTTTATAGGATCTGGACAATGGAGAGGCATGTTGGGTTGTTGATGGGGGCAGGTGCTTCCTGATCATCACTGTGAAACAGAAATAAGCCATGGCTTTGACCTAGCAGCCCAGCCTCACTGCAGAGCGGACGTCTTTGAGCAACACTGGTTGTGTTGACACAGACATTAGGTTACATCCCTCACTGCTGTTTCCACTTGTCCTGATTTTTCCTAGCGTCCTCTTTTGCTCTGAGATTTTCCAGGATTTTTCACACCACTTAGGGGATTTGCAGATGGAAATTTTGAGTAAAATGTGTTCACTCGTTTTCATGTTATGCAAGAGTGAAAACAAAAAAGCCTCAAACTCAATTTAGGATGGAGTGGGATGGGGTGGAGTGGCGCCCATGCACGAAAAACTCAAAACTGCTAAATTGCAAGAAGCAAAACTTTCCTTGAGCTTAATTTTCAGTGTGGGAGATTCTCTGTAGGGGTTTTGGGGAAAAAATGACAGAATTTTTAAGCACCATTGACACGAATATTTGCTACATAGACTTTGAGTGATGTACCCATTTCCATGTTGTAAATTGATAAGCAAAGGGAGTTGCTGAGGCTGGAAGTTACTGTTAGTGGTTTCTGAGGGTATCATGCAATGATTTTAGGAATCTTATCTCCACACTTTCTACTCCCACCACCCGATCCTCTTTGATGCCCCCGTGACTTATGCAATCCTATCTCTTACATTTTCATTTTTGTTTAATGTTTCAGACTTAGTTAAAACTCTAAGACACAATTGTAAAATTTCCTGTTTGAGGGAAAAGAATCTTTTTTTTTTTTGTTATACTTTACGTTTTAGGGTACATGTGAACAACGTGCAGATTTGTTACATATGTATACATGTGCCATGTTTGTGTGCTGCACCCATTAACTCGTCATTTAACATTAGGTATATCTCCTAATGCTATCCCTCCCCCCTACCCCCACCCCACAACAGGCCCCAGTGTGTGATGTTCCCCTTCCTGTGTCCATGTGTTCTCATTGTTCAATTCCCACCTGTGAGTGAGAACATGCGGTGTTTGGTTTTTTGTCCTTGCGATAGTTTGCTGAGAATGATGGTTTCCAGGTTCATCCATATCCCTACAAAGGATATGAACTCATCATTTTTATGGCTGCATAGTATTCCGTGGTGTATATGCACCACATTTTCTTAATCTAGTCTATCATTGTTGGATATTTGGGTTGGTTCCAAGTCTTTGCTATTGTGAATAGTGCCGCAATAAGCATATGTGTGCATGTGTCTTTATAGCAGCATGATTTATAATCCTTTGGGTATATACCCAGTAATGGGATGGCTGGGTCAAGTGGTATTTCTAGTTCTAGATCCCTGAGGAAAAGAATCTTTTAATGTTCACCCCATGGAGGAGTGTTCAGAATGCTTTTCTGACAGTTGCTAAGCATCCATGCATAAATTAGATGCAGATTGAACTATACAGAAACTTTTCCCATATGCACTATAAGCTCAGTTCACTTCAGTCTGCAAAGAAACAATACATACATGTAGAACTATTGAAGATTAAATTAAATAGTGTATAGCAAGCAACTATCATAGTACCTTATATATAACAGTGGCTTAATAATTAGTAGGTAGATTATCATTTTTATTTTAGCTAGAGCAGATCCTAAGAATGAAATATATCTATGTATAGATTGTAATATTCTTAAATTCTTTTTATATTTTATATGTGTTAGGAACATGAACACTTACCCACTCACTCTATTCACGTGGCCAATTGAGAGTTCCATATGAGTGGTTGGTTCACTAATTGTTGTCCCCTGGGAGGGACAGAAGAGCAAGAAACTATACCCACTTCAGTTTATTTCCAAATTGTATCAATGAGAAAGTGGTTGATTTTGAAGTTATGTTAATGTATAGAATTGTTTCAGTTCTCTGGAGCCTACTAAAAATACATCTGTCCCACAAAGTGAAGTTGTGAAAGATAATGGCATTTCTCTCCCTATCTTGATAATAAAGAAGTGATTAAAGAACTGACAGTTCTTCTCTGTGTCAAACCTCCCTGAACTGTATCACAAAGCAGGACAATCAGAAATGATGCAATGTTATGAAAGGGAGGAAGAGTAGGAGGGAAAAATTAAGAAATGAGGTGGAGAGAGGGGAAAAGAGGGAAAGGGAGAGGAAGATGAAGAGGGAGAGCGAGAGAGGTGACAGAGTATGTTCTTAATTAGCAGATTGCAGCAGGGGAGAGATCTTAACGGCTGGAACTGGACATTCTGAGACATGGTCAGGGGAAAGAAATCAGGTTTCCTCTTTGCCTGAGGGCAAAACATTGGCAGTTCCTCATAGAAGCAAAGTGCAGGCTTAAGTTCTTGAAATCCAAGGCGTTGTCAGCTTGAAGTTTATCTAGATCACAGGTGAAAGGTTAAAGTCAGTATGAAATTCAACATGTGATAATTTCATTGCACTGGCAACTTGGAGTGGTGGCTCCATCAGGTTCCAGAGGAAGGTATCCAGACCGGGTGTGGATGCAATCATCCAAACAATAAGCAAAGCCCAATGGCTTGGATACCAACCCTGGGGGAGGATGGATCTGGCATTTGCGTCAGTTAAGTCTGCCCAACTCCCTTCCTTCTTCCCTTCCTCTTTCCCCCTCTTTTTCTTTTTTCCCTCCCTTTCTTCCTTATTCAAAACATTTGCAGATAGCGAAAATTTATATTTAAACATATATAAAATATATATGTATAGCTCTATGAATGATTATAAAGAACTACTCTTGTGAAAACAGCACCCAGGTCAAGAAATGGGGCACCTACAGAACCCCAGAAGCCCTGTGTCTGCCTCTATGCAATTGTAATCCTCTTCTCATCCGAGAGGGGTAACCACTATGCTAACTATCATCATAATCATTTATTTGTTTTCCTGAGCTTTAATGCTGTTAAAATTTTTCCTCAAAAGCATTATTTAGTTTAGGCTATTTTTCAACTTCCTACAAAAAGAATCACTGTATACACACACACACACACACACACACACAGCTATATATATATACACACATGCATATATATAATATATATACACACATGCATATATATATTATATATACACATATGCATATATATAATATATATGTACAGTCCCATGATTTGTTCATTATTGAACATTATGTTTAGAGATTTTTCTTATGTTATTGTACGCAGCTGCTGTTCATTTATCTTATTTTCTGTATAGAATACCCTGGTATAAGAAACTGTCATGCAGGTAGCCATTCTACTGCTGGGGAACAGCTAGGTTACTTCCAGTTTCAGTTATTGCGAATATGCTCATACGTGTCCTCTGGAGCGCATATACAAAGGCTTCTATAGTATATACAGCAAGTCTAGAAAGACTGGTCGTAAAGTACATGAATCTCCATCTTCAAGAGATCATGCCAACTGTTTCCTCAAGTGATTGTACCAATTTACCCTCGAACCAGCGACGAGTGAAACATCTTACCAAAGTTAATATTATGCAACTTTAAAATTTTTTGACATTCAATTTCACATTGTGGTTTCAATATTTATGTCTCTGATTGCCACTGAAGTTAAACCACTTTTCATAAGCTTATGGCCAATTTAGAAAGACCAGTTCATATCTTTTCATTATCTTTTTGTATTCATTTGTTTCTTTTTTTCTTCAGGATGTATGTAGTTCTTTAAATGTTCTGGATGGCTGATATTTGTCAGTTGTATGTGCTGCAGATACTTTTCAATTCAGTGGTTTGTAGTTTTACTTTTAGTGTTATCTTTTTAACTTTGATATCTTTGATACATAGAAGTTTTTTTTTTTTTGAGATGGAGTCTCGCTCTGTCACCTAGGCTGGAGTGCAGTGGCACGATCTCGGCCCACTGCAAGCTCCGCCTCCCGGGTTCACGCCATTCTCCTGCCTCAGCCTCCCGCTGTAGCTGGGACTACAGGCGCCCACCACCATGCCCGGCTAATATTTTTTGTATTTTTAGTAGAGACGGGGTTTCACCGTGTTAGCCAGGATGGTCTCGATCTCCTGACCTCATGATCCACCCGCCTCAGCCTCCCAAAGTGCTGGGATTACAGGCGTGAGCCACCGCGCCCAGCCCTAAGCTCTTATTTTTAATAACGTTAAATTACTAGTTGTTTCTTTTATGACTCATATAAATTTTTGTCTTCTTTATTCCAAGACCATGAAGATATTCTCTTATATTATTATAGAAAACATTTATATAATTTTATTTCATTTATATAGTTTCATCTCTCTTAGATATTTAAATGACATGCAACAATTTTTGCATACCAAGTGAGATAACAGTCTGATTTCACTTTTCCATATTGTTGGTCAATATACTTATGCATCATTTATTGAAAATAATATGTTTCATTTAATGAAATAAAATGCAACTTCTATCACAGTTCAAGGGTTCATATGTACATAATTTTGTTTGAGTTGTACTGTTTGCTACTTCCTTGCCCTGAACCAATACCACAGTCTTAATTATTATAGCTTCACAGAAAGTATTTATTTCCTTTAAAGCAAATACTCTTCATTTGTTATTTTCTAGAATGTCTTTGTCACTCTTCTCCTTTTGCTTTTCCATATACATTTAAAAACTACTTGTCAGACTGGGCACCGTGGTTCACCTCTGTAATCCCAGTACATTGGGAGGCTGAGGTGGAAGGATCACATGAGGCCAGGAGTTTGAGGCCACAGCGAGTTATGACTGTGCCACTGCACTCCAGCCTGGGAGACAGAGCAAGATCCTGTCTCTGAAGAAAAAAAAATGATAAACAACTTTTCAAGTTCCACGCACACACATCCCTCTTTTAGAATTTTGATTGACATTGCACTGAACCTATAAGCCAATTTGGGAAGAATCAACATTTTTAAAATATGAAGTCTTCCAGATATCATAAACACAGTATATTCTTCCAATTACTTAAGTCTTCTGCAATAACTCTTATCTAAGTTTCACAATATTTTCTGTAAAACTTTTGCATAACTTTTGCAAGATTTATGTTTAGATATTTTCTATTTCTTGATGTTATTATAAATTGTATAATTTAAAATTTCATTTTCTAGTGACTTACTGCAAATATATATACATATATAATGTATAAATATGGTAATGTATAATGTATATATGATAATGTATATATGCAATATATATTTTGTAAAAATCATATATTTGTTGACTAGCTAAATATATATATAATATGAGATCCCAGAAACTTTTCTTTCTTATAATTTGTCTACAGATTCTTTTGAATTTCCACATATGCAGCTGTTTCATCAGTAAATAATGACAATTTTGTTTCTGTCTAATTCTTAACATTTGTATGATGTCTTTCTGTTGCTTTATCCCACTGTTTATGATATTCAGTATAATCATTTTTTAAAAGGGGAGCAATAGCCCTCCTTGTCGCAGTACAAAACTCAGAAGGAAAACTTTCAACCATTAATTATATTTGTAGCAGGCTTTTTATTAATATAAACCCTCTTTTAATGATATTTTCTTCCAACTTTTGTTGCCAAGATCTTTTAAATAATGAACTGTTCTTTTAAAAATTGTGCTGAATAAATCGTAACACAATGGTATTTGTTTATCTAAACATAGAAAACATACAATAAAAATATAATATATATAATATAATGTTTAAAAAATTGTGTCCAATATTTATTTTTTGATTTTTTAGGGTTTTTATTTTTATTTTTTTTGAGAGAGAGGAGACTGAACTTTTATCAGCTACTGAGAGAGGTGTGTTAAGATTTCTTCCTCTGATTCTGAATTTACTTATTTCTTCTGGTAATTTTGTCAACTTTAGCAAACTATATTTGAAGCTATATTAATGAACATTTATAAATTTAGAGTTGTTATATTTTCTCAGTAAATAAAATTATGTATTATTATAAAGTGATGCTATTTATATTTTATGCATATTGCCTTATAATCTATTTTGTTCGGTATTAGTATAGCTATAGCAGTTCCTGTGGGTGATCAGTATTTATTTTTCATGTTTCTACTTTGAATTATTTGTATCTTTATGGTTTATATATGTGTCTTATAAAAAGCTTCCACATGAATATTTTAATCTGTCTAATAATCTTTATTTTTTAATTAGAACATTTATTCTATATTTATATTGTATGTTATATATGGATTTATCTTTTATATAATTTTGTCCTTTCTATTTGTTCTTCTATATTGTTTTCTTCTTCTGTCTTAACTTTGATGGGAAGTGTTTTTATCATTCTATTTTTTTAACCTCTAGTAAATATGCACTCTGTTTCTGTTATTTTAGCAATTACCATAGAAATTAAGGCATAAACTCTAAACTCATAAAAGTCTGAAATTAATCAACATTTTTACCCTTTCTGCACAGTGTAATAATTTTAGATTGCATTGGCTCTAGTTACCCGCTTTCTAACTTACATGTTTAGTTTTGTCTTGTATGCCCATAGACATTATCTTAATGTTTATATAGGCAGTACTTGCTATGGACTGAATGTTTGTGTCCCTCCCAAAATTAATATGTTGAAATCGAAAGCCCAATGTGACAGTGTTAGAAGGAGGTATTAGAAGTTCTTGGGAGGTGATTAGCTCATGAAACCTCTGCCTTCGTGAATGGGATTACTGCCCTTACAAAAAGATACCCCAGAGAGCTAGCTAGCCCCTTCTGCTATGTAAGGATACAGCAGGAAAGCACCAAGTATGAAATACAGAGTGAGCCCTCCCCAGACACCAAATTTGGTGCTGCCTTGATTTTGCACTTCCCACCCTCTAGAACTGTGAGAAATGAATTTCTATTGTTTACAAGCCACCTACTTTATGGTAATTTGTGACAGCAATCTGAATAGAGTCAGATGTTGTTAGATATTCACATATTCCCACTTTCTCTGTTTTTATTCCATCCTATGGCTCAGACCTTCAATCTGGCATCAGTTTTCTTCTGCCTGAAATTTTTTTTTTCAGAATTTCTTTTAGTGAGAGTCAGCTGCTAAGAAATATATAGTTTAATTTACCTGAAAATGTTTTAGTTTTGCCCCCATTCCTGAGAGATGTGTTTTCTGGATAGAGAATTTGAGGACAGCAGTACCCCTCACAGCACCCATCACACACAAACACACAAAATAAAGATATCATTCCATTTCTTTGGATTCAATTGCTGCAGTTCAAAAGTCAGCTGTTCGTCTATCATTGCCTTAAAGACAACGCTTCCCTTCAGTGCCCTGCCATTACCACCACCAACACCACCAAGCTTCAGCTTTTTATCTCTGGGGTGTTCACCAGTTTTCCTATAATGTGTTTAACTTGGCTTTTCTTTAATTTTTTTCTGTTTCTGATTCATTGAATTCCTTGGGTCTCTAAATTAATGTCTTTTGCCATTTCTGGAAATTTCTAAACTGTTATATCTTCAGATATTTCTTTTTAAACATGTTATCTATGCCCTCCTTCTGGGAGTCTGAAAATATGCTAAGACCATTTCACTTAATGTTTTATGTCTCATAACTTCTCTATCACATTATAGGTCTCTTTGTTTATGTTATAATCTGGATGATTTATTCTGAATCTGTTTTACAATTTACCAATTATTTTTTAGCTGTCTCTAATCTATGGTTAAAACTGATCATTGAGTTTTTAATTTTAATCGTCTCTTTATTTGAAAAATTTCTAATTTTTGTCAAATCTGCTGTCATTTTTTGTGGATTTCCACTCCACAGATTTTTAAAGCTTTCCTTTTAATGTATTTAAACACAATATAGTTAATTATTTATTAAACTGTGTCTGACAATTCTAGTATCTTAGGTCTTTGCAAAACTTTGCCTGTTGCCTTTGTTTGTTTGTTTGCTGCTTCTTACTTATGGTTTATTGTCTCCTTGTTCTTTTTGGACTGTGAGCTGCTGCGTTTATTTGGAAAATTATTTCTGGGCCTTCTTCAAGGATAGAATGATAGTGCATTCCTCCAGAGAGTACTGATATTTGCCTCTGCAATTTGAATCTGCGCAGTTTGAAGATTTATTTTTTATTTTTTTATTTTTGTTTCCCCAAGACGGAGTCTTGCTCTGTCGCCCATGCTAGAGTGCAGTGGAATGATCTCAGCTCACTGCAACCTCTGCCTCTCGGGTTCAAGCAATTCTCCTGCCTCCGCCTCCCAAGTAGCTGGGATTACAGACACCTGCCACCATGCCTTCCTATTTTTTTGTATTTTTAGTAGAGATGGAGTTTCACCATGTTGGCCAGGCTGGTCTCGAACTCCTGACCTCCTGATCCACCCGCCTCGGCCTCCCAAAGTGCTGGGATTACAGGCATGAGCCACCGTGCCTGGTCTGAAGATTATTTTTAACAATTATTGTGAATTTGGACTCTCAGTATGTGTTAGGGATAATTTGTGGTGACAACTTCTCAGAGACTATTTTCTCAGTACCAAGGCAGATTTCTATGTGGCCCCTGCAGGAAAGGAGAGACACAGGTTTATTGTGGTGTATTAGGCAAAACAGATTTATTTTTGGTTGGATCCCAGCTTTACAGGCATATGTTGTTTAGCGGATTCTCCTCCTGGGAAAGCGTGGCCTTTGGTGTGTGGCTTCCACACTCTGTATTTTAATCTGATTTGCCCAATACTCTCAGGAAAATGTGGCCATGAGTGTCCCCTTACATCTCTGGTTTCCTGCCTTTACATAGATTTTGACCAGATAATTTCTTACTATATTATAAGCTCTTCTGTGTTTATTATATAAAAATATATTTTGGATAGCATTTCAGATATTTTCAGAAGGAGAACTTACTCAAAAAACCTAACCAGCCACACTACTTAAGCTGAAATTGTCTTCTTTCTTGACATCTTAGCTATGTTAGAGTAAGCTCAATATTGTGGCTCCAGTGACACGTGGGGTCTTGGAGGAAAGGATGGCTGTTTTACATAGATTTCAGGATTTCTAACAATCAGTATCAGAAAGAAGCTTATGTCATTCATTTGTGAGATAAGTTTTACTATTTATTATTATTATTATTTTTAGAGAGAGCCTCACTCTGTTGCCAGGCTGGAGTGCAGTGGTGTGATCTCAGCTCACTACAACCTCCGCCTCCTGGGTTCAAGCGATTCTCCTGCCTCAGCCTCCCGAGCAGCTGGGACTACAGGCGCACACCACCACGCCCAGCTAATTTTTGTATTTTTAGTAGAGACAGGGTTTCACCATGTTGGCCAGGATGGTCTCCATCTTTTGACCTCGTGATTGGCCCACCTTGGCCTCCCAAAGTGATGGGATTACATGCTTTATAATTTTTATGATAATAAAAACTACAAATTTATTTGTGAATTTATAAAATTAAATGAATGAGAAAATTATTAAACACCCAATCATTATTTTACTAGTGTTGTTTTGGTATTTTATAGACACATGTTTGAATATGTATGTGGGTTATATAAATACATATACACACATATGTGTATATAAATACACACATATATATACACAAATATGTTTATGATATTAGATTATATTAACTATGTGCCCTGCATCTATTTTTCTCCTGATATATACACATGATGCACTATTAATTGACTGTGACCATCAGTTGACCAATAATGCATTTTGTTAACTATAGTCACCATGCTGTACAATAGATCTGTAAACTTATTCTTCCTGTCTAACTGAAACTTGTACCCTCTGACCAATATCTCTGTTTTCCCAACCCACCCCTCCCCAGATTCTGCTAACCACCTTTCTACTCTCTACGTCTGTGAATTTGATTTTTTTTTTTTTTAGATTTCACATATAAGTGAGGTCATGTGGTATTTGTCTTTCTGTGTCTGATTGTTGTTCTATTTCAGATATTCAGAGGGCTCTTGATACATTCTGGCCTGTTAAAATGGATTCCACAACTAAATGACAATTATTTGTTATATGGGAATAATAATAAATGCCTCCTTCACACACAGATGTGAGGCTATAAAAATTAAATGCGACGAGCTAGATCAAATCCCAGGATCTGGTTCTTGCTAGGTACCAAAACCTGTGTCCCCATAGTATTGCTATTACTCCAATTTCTGTGAACGTAGCTATGCAATTGCAATCCAAAAAGTTCCAAGTGATAAGATTCCAGTGTCTAAATCACCTGCTTTTCCTGCCCCACCTTTTCCTACTCCTCCACCACCACCACCACCACCACCACCACCACTGGTCATTCTCATCCTCTCTAATCATTTACGCTATTAGTACAATTTTCTAAAGAATTAATTAGGAAATTATTTTACCTTAGCCTTAGCTTGAAGTTAAATAGCATTACTTGATTTATTTGGGATTCTTAATATGTAAAATATTGTATTGCAGAAGGCAAAGAATAATGGAGGAAACCAGACAAAAGGATTCTTTGTCCCAGCCCCACCACTAACCTGTGGGATGATTCTGGACCATTCTTCCCATCTTGTTCTGTGAACTGTGGGAAACTCATCACACTTGTCATTGTGGTTACTTGGGGTCGTTGTGAGAATCAGACTCGATCTTGAGAACGTGCTCTAAATGCACACAGACAGACAGGGTGTGCGTGTGTGAGGTGCAATCTACGGGAGCCAGAGTCTCAACTCCTGGGAACACATCTCCGGGCTGCATTTCCAGCTGCTTTTTCCTTCGTTTGGTGATTGTGAGCAGAGCCCTTGGGGTTTGAGAAGCTCTTAGCCCATGAGTGCAAAAAGATGAGAAATAATAATATTTTTTTTCTCCATAGGGAACTTCCAGCATCTATGAGGAAACAGAATTTCTTTTGATCACAGAAGAAAAGAGAAGAATATTAACCATGGAGTGTCCACCAGTGAGAGAGTTTCTGTGCATTAGTTCTTGGAGGGACAGGGAACCTTGGTGAGAGAGAACAGACTGGAAGTAACTGGGTGTGGTTTTCCTGCTGCCCCAGCCTGGGGCTCAGCACCAGATCTCCTATCTGGTGGCTGCACCATAAGTCCCAGTCTTCCCAGAGGTAAAGAAAGAACAGACAGTTCTAGACCCTATAAAACAAAGCAGATGTCAGGGTGCTTACAAAGTCCAGTGCCCACAGGGCCAGGCAGGTCAATGTGTGTGAGTATGGCACACTGAAAGCATATATTATACAAAAGGAGACTGCTCACACTCAGCTGCAACTCCTTGTTGCCATATCAAATAGTGAGAAAGTGTGTGCATGCGGGTGTGGTGTGTGCATGTGTGTGATACCTGTTGGGAGTTGCTGGCAGTGGGGCAATCAGGGCATGCGTGGGAGCAGGAGCAGAGGGAGCAGTGATAAATAACCCCCTGCCCTCAATTAGAGGTGACTGTCTGCACTGGATCCTTCCCAGGCCTGCTTCTGTCTAGACAGTGCCACCACAGTGCCACCAAGAGTTAACATCCTTCCCAGGCTTCACTGTGTCTCCCTCTGGGTGTTAGAGGGCAAATCTGTAGAAATAATAAGTTTCTCAGAGCCAAACGCATGCCTCTGTTTCAAAGGGACTCCCCAGGCCAACCCTGATGGGGCCAAGCAAAATACTTCCGAGCTGGGTGTGCTCTGTAGCTGCCAGTTTGAGTCTTCTCCTCTTAAGGAAAGGAAATCTGTTCAAAATCAGTTTCTAAGGCAATGCTTTACCCTTATTTCAAACAGTTTTTTTTTTTGCTTCCTTCTTTTCTTTCTTCTTCTTCTGAGAAAATAAGTTTTCCTTTCTTCTAATGTCTCCTAATCCTAAATCAGTAACTGTAGTCCCACTGAACTGGGTAGAAGAAACAGAAGCTTTTGCTCTTACAGTAAATGGGACAGGCTAATTTTTGGCATAGGCAGGAAAAGATGAAGCTGGCAATTATTTGTTCTGAGGAACTCAAGCTGTCAGTCTCTCACATACTTTGATACTTTAGAAATGATCACTAAACTCTTTTCAAATTTGCTTTTGGATCCTACACCCTGAAGTGATGGCTGCTGACAGCAGAGTTTAGAATCTTGGGACTACAGAGGATGCCTTTGTCTCTGTACCCTTGTCATTTCCTGGAAGAAGGGGAGTCATCCCCATGAGTCTCCTGCAGAGGTGGCCAGAGATAAACACTAGCCGAACACAACTGCACTGTCCCTGGCATTTGGGGCCTCTCAGAATGAGGTTTGTTGTCAACTGGGAGAGCCCTGGTACTCCATTCCCAGGATCAGCCATCAGGGTGCAGACATTGCAGGTCAAAACGTCGTCTCAGACTTTACCCTCCAACCATTGAGAAAACATCTCTGCTTAGTGCCAGAGATAGCCCCACCTAACTTGGTGGAAGTAGCAGTAACGAAGTATAAACACACCTCCTTCTCCCAGACGCTCAGGGCTCTGTTTACAGATTAAATCTCAGGATGTGTATATTCGACGTTCTTATTCCAGGATATTAATGGCAAAATGAACTTGTCTGGTGATGGCTCCGTCACATTAATGTCTGATGGACGGTTCGGATGTGAAAGGTGCATTAAGGCCTGCTGAGGGCCCTGCGTGTGCGAGTCAGGAATGTGACTGCAAGGCTGGAATGTGAGCTTGTTTAGAGTGAACCCAAATGGAGTCGATTTAACCCTGCAGGAGTCGAGTCATCTGAAATACCACAGCCCCAGAAGGCAGAGTCTTGATAAATAGAAGGAAATGTGCAAAATATTTATCTTGCGATTCTTAATCTGCCTAATGTAGTCTAGCGGCATTTCTAGGAAGCTTTGTGGGTTTTAACCATTATCTCAAAATTTATAGTTAGCTCAGAGGTCAACTGGAAACATGGCTCTGCAGGTTCCTAAAGTCTGTTTAAATCTCCCAGAGGTATCCGGGTTGTCTCCTGCCTGGAGAAATCTGGAGAGAATTCTTACAGAAGGTGATGGGTGTGTCTGGGCTATGGAGCATCTCTTGGATTTATTGAATATTTAGCAAGCATCTATAATGTGCCCATCACTGAGCTAGGCAGAGAAAGGGAGAAACACATATTTTGGTTCTGGAGCTTGTGTGTAGTCTGATTGGGAGGTGAGATAGACCCCAGGAAACAAGTATAGAACGAAATAGAGCAATTAAGCCCAAGGTCTTGGGGTATGGGACAAGACAGCCAGACATTGAAGGAACCACTAAGATTTATCAATGTTCTTTCTCCTCCATCACAGGGTGTGTTGGCAGCTTCAAAATATGAGCCTTGAATGACTCTAGTTGAGAACATAGTGAAAGCCATCGTATAACTTGCAAAAGCAAAAGTGTTTTGTGTCTCTTCACATGCCATGTTGAGCGTATGTGTGTTGGTATCCAGGGTGGCTGGGAAAAGAGAGTGAAAGTGG
The DNA here is from genome assembly GCF_000001405.40 of Homo sapiens. NCBI lineage: Eukaryota > Metazoa > Chordata > Mammalia > Primates > Hominidae > Homo > Homo sapiens. The sequence goes on from NC_000002.12 coordinate 18,517,074, forward strand.
GTGGATTCCCTTCTCTCTTCCCCTCTGTCTCTTCTTCCATCTTTCATCCTTGCCTCACATCCTACCCACAGTCCTTTGTAGATGACAGAAGCCACAGAGCTGAGGAAGGAGGGACAGCTGGGGGTGCCACTATGATTTCTGCCACCTGATTCATCCTTAAACATCAAGAAGCTGACTTTCCTAGTGCCTTGGTGGAGGACATGGTAGCTCCTCCAGGTCCTACTGAGAATACTCCAAAGTCCAAAATTAACCAATCCTGATTCCTAAAACAGGTAAAAAAGAACAGTTCTGATGAAAAGGATTTGGGGTGTTTTCTTTTTCTTTTTCAACTTTGATTTTAGAATCAGGGGTACATGTGCAGGTTTATTACAAAGATTTGTTGTGTAATGCTGAGGTTTGGAGTATAATTGATCCTGTCACTCAGTACTGAGCACAGTACCCAACAGTTTGTTTCCACCCTCCCCACCCTGCTCCCCACTTTTGTATTCTCCAGTGTCTATTGTTCTTATCTTTATGTCCATGTGTGCCCAATGTTTAGCTTACATTTATAAGTGAGCATATGTGGTATTTGGTTTTTCTGTTTCTGCGTTAGTTTGCTTAGAATAATGGCTTCCAGCTGTGTCCATGTTGCTGCAAAGGAAATGATTTCATTCTTTTTTATGGCTGTGTAGTACTCCATGGTGTATATGGACCACATTGACTTAATTGAATCCACCATTGATGGGCACCTGGGTTGATTCCATGTCTGAAAAGATTTAAGTTTTAAAAAATTGTTATAAAAAGCCACCTTCTTTTTTTGAATCTTGCTTTATAACTAGTACAAAGCAAACATCAGATACCTGTGTATATTTATACAATTTTAGTCATTTTCAGAATATTTAACTGAATATAAAACTGTTTTTAAAAGAACATTTTATTTTCTAAAAGTTAGTCTTTTTGTATCATGGACATATAAAAAATAACAAACCTATTTCAGCTCTTTAAAAGCTCATTTCAATAAAAACAAAAAAGGAAGCGCCGGCTTCATGTTCATTTCAGTGGCCACTAATCCAGCCAACACATACTGAATGCCCCTGAGTGCCTAACACAGTGTTAGATACTAATGGCAAAGGGGTGAATCAGATGTGGTCCCTGCCCTTTGAAACTAACTTGCTTTTCAAGAGGCTGTAACTGAGGAACACTCTCTATGGGCAGCTCTTTGGTAGCACAGAGTTCCCCAGGAAGCACTATATAACATCTCCCATCCCTGCTCCATCATGACTCATACGAAAAACTTCTAGGCTGAATTCTGTCAGGAAAAAAAAAAAGAAAAGAAAAGGAAAATGATAAGTAAATACATTTGACAATAAATTTGAGATCATAAACCTTGGGATTCTTTTTATAATACCACGCACTTCAAAATCAGGCAGTATTTTTCATTTGACGTGGTTTTAAAGGTAGCTCAAAGAAAACACAGGATTAACCGTAAGTAGTGGGATAGTAAGCGTGAGCCAAGCTTCCAAATAAACACATCAGAGACTTGGGCTAAAAAAAGACAGAACACAAATAACCTCCTCTTGATGTGCCTACAGTTTCATTTAACTGTTCCCAGGTCATGAACTAATTTACCAAAAAGAGGTTAACTCCAGTGCAACCAAATGGCATTTCAGGAAGCAGGTTTTGTGCATATCGCCTGTGGAAGCCGGGCCACTTGAACCCCGCCTGTGAAATGCCTCTCGGATGAGCACTTTTTAAAACTCTTTAGTGTATTCTTTTTCAGTGAATGGGTAATGCGTTAGGACATTGGAGAATACAGGCCTTAAGAAACATGAGCTTGGCTTCTTCCCAAGTATTGATGTCTCCAAACCAAAGAATTAGCCTAAATAAATTTGTTTTGAGTGACTGTGTGACCTCGAACAGCCTACTTTCCCTTGGTCAGCTAGATGTGTTTCCTACAAACTGAAGAGCTTAGATGAGCTGCTCTTTCAAGTCCCTTCCAGGACACAGAGGCCCTTCCCAAGAACTCAACACAGGAAAGCTGGCCTCTGCCCCCAGAAGCTTCCAGGCGAAGGAGAACAGTCAAGGAGCCAAAGTCCTAGGTGCTCCGCTGGAGGGTGACTTCCACTCACACCAATCTTCCAAAACCTAGGGACTTGGGACCGAGCAGCGGCATTATATCATTTCCAGGCAAAGCCCAAGTTCTGTCTTCCGTACCCACGGTCTCTTTTCGCATTTTGCGCAACATCATTTGCTGCTTCATCTGACCTAACTCGGTGGGTTTCTTGATTTTAATGTGTGTAGAAATTACTTATTGGAGAATTTTATTAAACATGCACATTCTTAAGCCTGGCGTCCAGTGATCCTCTTTTGGGAGGCCTGGGCAAGGGCCACGACGTAGGCACGCTTCACAGGCACCCAAAAGGTTCCCACGCAGCAGTGACCCATGAAACATGCTTTGAGGAACACTCATCTGATGGTTCTGGAGTGGGGTTGGTCTCCCTCACAGACTCAGGCTCCTGGGAGCCAGGGACTCATTTGACATTGCAGTGAAACAGAGAACATGGAAAGGGACATGCCATGTAGTCAATCCAAATTGGATGAGTAAGTGAATCAATGAATGACTAAGGCACATGCAATAGGGAAGGTCATTGTCACCATGAACTGAAACTTTCCGGCAGTGTTGGAGAAGGTAAGGTGAGTGGGAGACGTGGTACAAGACAGGCTTCAAAGCTGGGTCTCTGATGGGTCACCAGAAACAGTAGGGTCCTTGTAAGGCAATGCTTCTTCTCTAGCAGACACATTTTTCCAGAGGGAGTCTGTCAGCCTCCATGATATTTTAAGCTGCATCCCTCAAAATGTCGTAAAGGAGGATTAAAGTATAAATGATTGTCAGTTCACTCCTGTCCTCCTGGTACTGCGCTGAGCATCTCAGGCTGTTTGGAAGACAGGGGCAGCAAGGGAGGGGAGGAGCAGGGGAGGGCCTTAAAATGTGACTGAACAGAGCCTGCAGAGAATGAGGAGCTCTGGTGTGTCTTGGGGGGCTAAAGCAGTTCACAGGCTGCTACTTTTTTTGTGACATAGCTTTTACGGGGGGAGAGCCAGAATATTAAGCTCATTGCTTCCAGATGGGAAGGTTGGACAAGACAGAGAGGCTTTGGCTCCGAAAGCTTGGACGCTGTGGTGCGATATGGATGTGACATATTGAAGTAATCGAGATAGAAGATCTGGCTTTAGCCAAGGCTGTCAGATAGATACTTTTTAAAACATTACATGGTTTGTAACAAGGTATTGTGTATCCTCACAGAAACTCTGCCGCCTAGGTCTCTGGGAAGGCAGTGGGGGGAAAAGTGTGCTTATTTTGCTTGAGTTACTAAAGCTCCTTTTATATATGAGGAATTTGGCATCTCCTGGCTGGGAACGGCTGAGCCAACAGTGTCCGATGCACTTGTAATGTAGATCATGCTAGTGACTTGCTAAGTGAGTCCAGGTGTTTGCATAAGAGGCAGGGTCCTAAGCACCTCCTTATTTGAGCCCCGAAGCAATCATGGCCCAGTGCTTCAAATGAGCCTCAAATCTGTTTAATAAATCATCCTTCTATTTATAGAGTTAATCCAGGGAGAAAGCCTCCGTGTTGTCTGGTGGGGCATGTGCCACCAGAGGGCGCCCGATGTCTGCCTCATTCCATCAGAGTGGCTCTTGCTATATCAGGGGTTTTGCCTCCCCTGCAAGCTCCTTTATCCAGTCCTTTCCTTCCTGAGCTTTCAGGCCCTGGATGGCATACCTATGGATCAAAGCCAGGTGGGGCAGGGAGAACCCCCAGACCCTTTCACGAGGGACCCTTTCTCCTCCAGTGTCTTCAGTGAGAACTTCCCTCTGGGCCAGCCTGCCCATGCACGCTGTGGAAAGGGAGAGAAGGCCCTGCCTCATTTGGAAATCCTGAGTTTGCAATGTGCTGGTTTACTTGCAATTCTCATGTTCAGAGAATGGGCCCCTTCCTTGGCTAACTTCACACCTGAGAACATGTCGGGGCATCCCTGCGGACCCAGTGTCTGCTTCACATTTCAAAGGCTGGGAACTGTTAAGCTTGTATTTTGATTAAAATTTTGTATTAGCGCCCCCCCCCTTCAATGTAATTTCAGGATATTTAATTTCAACCAATCATCTGAAGGAAAGTGGGGGGAGGAGGTATCTGATGTGAAACAGCACACGGGGAAAGCCAGCCAAGTTAGAAAATAGAGCAGCTCGGGGCTGTGTCGATGTGACAACTGAAGTCTCTTTTGTTCTCTCAGGCAGGGTCTGAAACCAAAGCCCCTCAAGGACAGGAGATCTACCTCTGGGCTTGGAATCAAGAGGACCAGTCGTTCCGGGAGGCCTCCCTGCTACCTTTGGGGCCTTTGGCAAGTCCCTGAAAGTTTCCAGGTTTCAGCCACCTATTTGGGCTCTGGGGAGAGGAATGCCTACCATTTGCCTCTGGCTCTGGGATTTTAAAAGGAAAAGCAGCAGAGTCTTTGGAAAAACCAATCTCTGAAGACCCAGGGTGAACATTAGTTACAACACCCTAGCTTCGAGGTGATGTAAACTTCAGGTACGGAGGTTACGCTCAGAGGAATAAAGGAGCATTCGTCAAACATGAGCTCCCCTCGATTGTGGTCTAGGGTGGAGACCAGTTATTCAAGTGTCTGTGGGCCCAGGCAGGTAATGAAAATGTAGTTATGGGGGAACGCCCGGCTCAGAACAGGCGTAGAGTAAATAGTTGTTGTTGACTGACTGAAGGAATAAAAGTGGGTCTGATATAAGACAATAGGGAATGGTACAAACCTTGTCAAACTGGAAGGTACATGACTTGAATTTGATGTTCAAACTATTGCTTTTTAAAACACTAGTTTAAACATCTTCTGGCCCTAGAGCTACCAATTTGTATCTCTGTATCCACTTTTATATATTTTAGGCCCATTTAAAAGACCAGGAAAGGAGGAAAATAAATCTAGCAGTATAGGACGTTCTTAATCTTGTCAGTTAACCCTAATTTTAACACCCCATCTCTGTTTGTCATTCTACTTAACCACTTTGGATTAAGCAAATTCAGTCACTTTGGAAATAGTACGTGTGGATGGTACCTTACAGGATGAAGGACCATAACAATATTCTCTAGCGCAGGCCTCTACCTCCACAGGGGGACAGACTGATGAGCCAGATCAACTCCTGCATCCTCTTCCTCAAGGAAAGCCCCCATCAATAAAACCACAAGGTTACAGTGGAGCCAGAGGGAGAGCTGGCCTGAGTTGAGACCTCCTCATGGAACTCATGGCTTCAGTTTCCTAAAATGGGGATTGTACTCCCCTAGCTCTCCTTGCTTCACAGAGCTGTTTGTGACAACTCATGAGTAATGTTATGTGAAAGGGCTTCACACACTGCAGTGTGCTGAATAAATGTAAAGAGTCCATGCTATCCAATTTGGAGACAGAAATTAGAGGACTCCTCCTCACACTAGTTAAGTACATCTCTTAAATTGCTTGGACTGTTGGCGTGGTTCTCGCCAGAGTTGAATATAATTCCTCTGTTGATGGGTCAGCCTTTATTTCCCCCAGTGCTGTTTCTTACTTGAGTTAATGAGTCCAAAGCTCATGTTTGCATGCTACCTCTGACCCTCACTAAGTGCTCACCTGCAGCTCTGCCCTGTCCTCAGAATGATGTGACCCTCAGGGCCAAACACTCCACAGGCTGCACTCTGCCACCTCCAAATCCCCACCAGTGGGTCCAATTCTCAGTCATCTGCTTGTTGTATTTCTGTTGTTTCTGTATTCATGTCAAGGATATTTGGCTGCAGAATTCCTGCAATATATTTTAGGTGAATGTGCAGCATGATCTTATTCTGGAGTCCAGGAGACTCCACCTAGGATTGCTCACAAGTAGGTCAAGTGGAGGGGGTGGCTAAGGCCAGTTTTTCTGCTTGCTATGCTGGTGCAGGCAGAGGCTTTAGAGTTATGTTTCCAATAAAAGGCATAGATTTTCACTGCCTGATGATCAAAGTCAAACTCCTAAGCCTGGAATTTGAGGCTCTCAAAATCTGGCAATATCATTTTTTCCTTCTTCTCTTCTAGTTTCTTCTGTGCACCACAGGCCTCATGCACCAGGGTGCACCCCCTTCCATGTACATATTCCACATTTTCACACATCAAGCATGCATATGTACAATTTATACATACAGTTTCCTCTGATTCTTTTTTGTCCTTAAATGTCTGCCTGCTATCATCATGACCATTTTTAGGGAGAAATGCTTACCCGTACCTCCTATTTCCACAGAGAGGAGAGGCAAAGTCGAGAGTTTCACCACTCTCTTTAGGAGGAGAAAAGATGGAGGAACATTCCCAGCCCCTGACTCCATCTTTGACTCGCTCTTCCTAGGAGAAGAGGAGTAACTGGGATCAGAACCTGAGCATACCCAGCTCAGCTCCACCATCCCTCCGTCTTCAGGGCTCCTCCTGCCTGCAGATCAAGGGCTTCTTGCCTGGCTCCCACTTACTTTCTCCCTGTGGTTGCCGTCTAGAGGCAGTCATGAAGCCCCGTGCTCAGGGCAAGTCCCTCCACGGGGGCAGGACTGGCATGAAGGAGTAATGCCCTCTGTAGTGGGAAGGGTGAGAACGTCTGCCTGGGACTGGCCCTGCCCTCATAAGGGTTTATACTGCAAAGGCAGGGGAAAGAGGCCTGTTCTCCAATCCAGAGTTACCAACTGATAGTTTGAGTTTCTTCCTTCTGGCCCTAGTGCCCATACTGAATTGACTCTGAATCCTCAGAGGAAGAGAGAAATTATTTATGTCCTAAAACCTCAACAGCTAAATGTCACATCTTCAAAGACGTTTCAGACCTTCCTTGTCAGGTGTGATCATTCCTTCTCTTTTTCCTCTTCGCGTGTTTCCTGTAGAACTCCAGTTGTGCTTCATTTGCTCATTCTTTAGTTCGACACATATTTACAGGTGAAGACCTGGGATTTCCTTGCATTTAGGATGTGACGAAAAATCACATTTTTTAAGTTGCGTTTTTTTCAGAAAATCCAAGTCTTCACATTAGTATGGTATAATTAGAACAGAATTGGACAGAAGGCTTGGATTTAGGTCTCAGATTGAGACCTGCAAGATACTGAGAGCTTCTGAGATTACAGGAATGCTGCTAGGTGCTTTTTGATACAGAATCTTGAAATTGTTGGTTTCCTACATTATTTTCTTTTTGGAATGAAGACCACTAAAACTCTAAGACAAAGTGAACAAATGATAGCAAAAATAACAGTAAGGAAACCATGATCAGCTCGGGGTCATGTCACCAATAGTTGGCTGGGTCAGGGGTCAGACCCAAGACTCTTGACTCTGAATCCTCTATTCATTCTTTCTGCCTTCTCTCACACTCTCTGTGACTCTTGCAGTCCCTCTGCAGAGATAAGAGTAACCCATGAAACAGATCTGTAGCAACATAAGGCAATAAATGATAAATGCCAAAATAATTCCTCCTGGCTATGAGTAAACTAAGGATTCCATGAAGGGCGAATCCCCATGGCCGTGGAGATTCATGGCAGCCTTCCTGGAAAAGGCAGGATTGAATTGAACCCTGGCAGGAGAATTCTTGGGTAGGGATAGAGGACTGGGAAGAACATTCTAGGCAGAGGATCTCATAGAAACAAAGGAGCACAGGCCAGATAGAGCAAGAGAAATCCAGGACACAATGAATTTACCAGCCTGGCCTGACCCAAGGTTGGTATCTGGATAAGGATAACATGGGAGGTAAGGCTAGAAAAGACGATTAGGTCTTTACTTGAGAGGATAGTGGTTTTCAATTTAGGAAGAACCACAGTCTCACCATTTTGAAAATGCCTATACCAGTCCCCAGACCTGCTGAATCAGACAGGATTTGGGGGAATGAGTTGGAACAATTATTATTTTTCAGTCCTCTATATGTGATTCTAATGCTCAGTGAAGGCCGAAAATCACCAAGAAAGGAAGAAAGCCCATCAAGCATACACAGAGCCCTATATTTCCATCCAGTCGTCCTAGGGTTCCTCTCTGGCTTTCCATCTGTAACACTGAGTTGGGGCAAACTACTCTCTATACCCCATTTTTCTAATTTTTAAGATTGAAACAATAATAAGACTGCCTACCGCCCTCAAAAGCTCATCAGGATGAAAAAGCAAAGTGTTGTATTTGAAAATCCCAGACAGATGTGGCATAGGTAGCTGTGAGTTGATTCTTTGACTAGGGAGGTGCTGAAGGCTGCTGATAAAAGTATTGGGGCCGGAAGGGCACCCAGAGGGATGGATGAAGCACCGAGAGATTGGAGGGTACTGGGTAGCAGCTAAGGCAATGATTCAGGTGTGAGCTGACACAGCCCAGCCATGGTGAGGCCTTGAGGATAAGTGTGTGGCCACAGGCCAAAAAGATTCAGATTCTCTGTGGGGAACAGCAAGGCACTATCCACACCTAAAAATAAAACTGGCCTGTCTCAACCCTGGATTGGATACCTCAAATTGCTGAAGGGCAGCAGGACCAAATTCTAATTTTAAGAAAGTCTGCTCTTTGAATGCAGACTCAGAAACAGCTTTGCTGGGGAAAAATGTCAAATGGTTTGCCAGGATATTGACAGTGTTCCCAAAGACAGGAATAGAAGTACTGAAAAAGGGAATGTCAAGACAGGAGTTCCTGGGGTCTCTAACTCCGGAATCTTCCAGCAGGAGAAGGAAAGGCAAGGAACCAAAACCCAGCAAGTTAAAAAATAATAATAATAACAATAGTAATAATAAGACCAAGCTGCAAATCTACGCTCCTGACACTCCCATCTTGCTCCCACCTGGGCCCCTGGAGCGATTCCCTGTGACCCTTAAAGAGCTACCACCCCTTGGGGTGGTGTCAGGGACTCCTGCTCCCCTTCCTCCTCCTCTGGCAGCTACAGGCGCCATTATCTCATGAACTTTCCCCATATCCCTTGGAGATAAGTATTTCCTTATGGTAGTGATTGTTATTCTCATTTCACAGCTGGAGAGGTGGAGACAGAAGGATAGTCCTGAGAAGAGGGAGACATTTTCTTCCTTTCCTCTGGACTCTGTCATATTCAAATCATAAAACAGAAAGCACAGGAAAGGTCTCTGAGCATTGTTAAACTCAAGGTAGCAGGGATCAGCACTAAGGGAAGGAAAGGTTATTGTGGGTTTGGTGTGTTGTAAAATTTATGTTCAAATTTTTTGGGGGGAGATGGTGGATAGTCAATTTCTTTTTATTTTCATACGCCCATTAAAAAAAAGGTGGAATTTCAGAAATAATCTAATGCAAGCTTCATTTTGCATGTAAGGAAATTGAGGCCCAAAGTGAGAACTTGTTAAACAGGCTGTGACGGGGATGCTGAAGCCCCCTGCTCCTAGTGGCATTTAGGCCATGCTGTCTGCCACCCTTCAACCTGCTTCACATGCTCTGGGGACTGAGACTCCAGGCAAAGGCACATCCAAGGGTGATGCTGCCTTGGGTTATCGTGAGAGTCTGGCTAGAGGCCGGACTTCTCTGCAAAGTTTGAGAAACGTATTGAAATTATCAAGACTTGGAAGGCAGCCGTCATTTGCACCGAGCTTTCACCGCCTTACCGAGTTCCTAGACTTTAACTATTCAGGGTTTAGCCAGCCCATTGTATTAGTCTCATCAGAAGCCCTGCAATCTTAGGCCTGTCCCCTAGGCCCAGGGTGAGGTTTCTGGGAGGTATGGGAGCAATCCTGGCCCCACAGACCCCCAACAACTGCCCTAGGGGAGAGAGGATTGTGGGAAACCTCCCTGGCCCCTGCGCTGGGAGGGCACAGGCTGGGGGAGTTGGATGCTGCTCTCAGGATGTCTTTAGGTAGGAAGACGGGCCATCCACAGAGAACTATGGCCTACGAGAGCTTCTGTGGAGGTCAGTGCAAGACAGTCCCTTTCTACACAAATGATTCATTGCTGGAAACTTCACATAATTACACATTTGAATAATTCAAAGCTAATTTTCTTACAGGCACAAATGTAAAGAAGGATAGATTTCACTTTTGAGACTTGTAAATCTGTAAGTACCATTAGAAAGTGTAACTTTTTTGTTTTTGCTTTTGAACTTACTTTTATAACAATAAATATAGGATATGCCAATAAGGATTTTCTGAAAATTTAGAGATGTCTGTTTAATAGAGCTTTTCATGTTCAATGAGGTTATCTGTAGTGTTTTCCTAAATCAACTGCTCGAGTTATCCTGGCAGATATTTGGTCCTCATCATAGTATTTTATCACATCTAATCCTGTTTCCTAATGTTTTTATTCTCAGAAATGTTTTTCAGCAAAAGCACTATTTCCACTACTTAATGCACCCTTGGGTGACATTGATATAAGATATAGAAAAAAATTTAATTATAAGAACACTGAGTAGTGACAAAAATGACCCCCTGCCAACTCCTTTTGGTAAACAACAGAATGGGCTGGTGACAGATTTGTGCGTGCTAACAAAGAGACCGTTGCCATGGGGCAGTAGTGAAAACAAAGCTTAAAATGAATTCAGCACTATTGATTATTATGCAATTCTCATTAATTTTATGCATTTTGAAAACTTAAGTAATTTCCAATTTTGAGCACTTTACAGACTCTTTTTAAATTCCTCCAACTTTCTACCATATGGTACAATATACAAAGTAACATAGAAGTTGTGGGGAGGAAATGGAACAAAAAAAGAAAGATTAGAATTGGGATTTAAACTCACAACTTTTACTTCTAGACAATTTCACATAGGATTTACCCAGCGATGCATCTCTTAAAGATGCACCATCCTGACATCCTTGGCTCATTCATCATGCCACCTTGCCTCCTGCAGGGAAAGTCACTGCCAAGAAGACATCACATTGGGCATATTCATTTTAATTAGTTCTCCCAATAATACCATGCTACAGATATCTCTATAATTAGATGCCCATCGACTATTGCGTCATTTCCCTGAGTCTACAGTCACCCTGGCATTGTGGCCCCTGGAGTCCTAGGTGCCTTGGCAGTTGCAGACTCCAATGTTTCTCTGCTCAGTGCCTTAAGATTTCTCAGCAACTGTCCTCTGCCAGGCTTCCCAGGCCCCTGCACAAAGAATTAGCCAATGCAGGCATCAAAGTGGAGTTCAGAAAATTGTGCACGCAGCTTAACCTCCTGGCTGCCTCAGCAGCTCTCTGCTGCCTTCAAGACAATTAATTTTTTTTTAATGTTTTTCTTACTGTTCTCAGCTAGAACAGTGGTTTGCTACAGCTACTGCATCAGAACCAGAAGTGGACGTCAACATGTTTTTGAGATTTGTATTATAGTTTGGGTCATTATTTTTAACAGCTGAATATAATTTATATATATAGTACATTGTATTTATTTATAGGTGGACGTTTGAATGTTTTCCAACTTTTCACTGTTAAAAACAATGCTGTAATGAATATTCTTGCACATGTCTTCTTGTACACATCTTTGAGAATTCCTCTAAAATATACATCTGGAAGAGGAATTGCAGACCATACAGGCTGCTAATTTTTAATGTAATTATATATTGCCAAATTGCTTTCTAAAGTAGATGAACCACTTTACATTTTCACCAGTAGTATGTGAGTGTTTGTGTTTATCACTAGCTTTGATAATTCTTGGTTGTGAAACCATTTAATTTTTGCTAGTCAATTGGAAATAAATTTATATCTTCTTTTTCTGATTACTAATGGGGCTCTCCAGCTCATTGCATTTCGGGATTCCTTTTCTGGAAATGCCTGTTCACATCTCTGGTTGATTTTCCATTGGATATTTGTCTCTTCCTTATGAATGTATTATTTATACAACCTAAATACCAATTAACCCTTAGTCTGCTATATATGTGGCAAATCAATCCACAAGTATCCATTGAGAGCCTTCTGCATGCAGTTCTAGGGGCATAAGGGTAAATAAAACAGACTAGGTCTGATTTCCGTGAGGCTTATGTTCCAGTGCAAGAAGACCGAGCATCATCAGTTTAACACAAAATTAGTAAAATGACATCAAATCAGAAGAAATGCTATAAAAATAAAACAAAAAAATAAAATAGAGAGGGATGGGTATGTCAGATGTTTTAGGTTGGAGAGGTTACAGAAAAACCTGAAGCAGAAGCTTGAATGAGAAGAGAGAGCCCCATGAAAATAAGGGGATAATGCTTCCCCACATGGATGAAAGTCCAAGACCCTGAGGTGGCACCAGCTAGGCACTCAGTGTTTTTTTTTTTTTTTTTCTATGTCTCCATCCTCCAAAGGCCAAGATTTTCTCTAATGAGTGCTTTACTCTGTGCTCCAGCAGGGCCACAATTATTGCTATCTGAATCTGAGTTGTGGCAGGCAAGATGTACAGATTATTCTCTGGCACAATAAATTGGGTTTAACTCAAGCCCCCCCAGCAGTGGTAATAGCTGAAGAAGAAAGCCTTTCTTCCACACAGCACAGTTCATGCTATTTGGAGGGCATCCTGATGAAAGGCATTGGCACTCTGGATTCAGGTTACCCACATTCATATCCTCCTTCCAGTTTATTAGCTATGAGACCCTAAAGCAAGTTCTCCAAACTCTCTGAGCTTCCATTTCTTCTTGTGTAAAATGGAGATCATATTTATGGTAGAAAGGCCTCTAAGGTGTCCCCCCAAAGATCCCAGCCTCTTGGTATTCATACTCTTGTGCAATTCCCTTCATGGAGTGGACCTAGTAACTTCCTTGTAATTAATGAGAATATCACATAAGTGACAGGATGTCACTTGTGAGATAAGGTTTTAAAAGACTCTGAAATCAATTTAAATCCATCTTGCTGTCTCCCTTCCTTGCTCTTTATGTGGAAGCAAGCTGCCATATTGAGAGGTCTATATGGCAAGAAACAAGGATATCCTCTGCCCAACAGCCAGCAAGGAACTAAGACCTACCAATAGCCACTGAGTGTGCTTGGAAATGAACCCTACCCTAGTTGAAATGAGGTGACTGTGAGCTGGCTGATATCTTGATTGCAGCTGTGTGAGAGACCTGGAGCTGAAGGAATCAGGCAAGACATACCTGGATTCCTGACCCACAGAAACTTTGAGATAATAGATGTGTGTTATTTTAAGTCACTAAAATTTGTGGTAATTCATTATATAGCAGTAAATAATTAATACAATAATAGGACCTTATCATGTCATTCCTGTGAATCTGAAATTACAGATGATTCCTGACTTAACAGTAATTCCACTTACTTTTTTTTTTTTTTTTTTTTTTTTTTTACTTTACTGTGGTGCGAAAGTGATACACATTGATGGAGTTATGTCCTGACAAAACCATTGTACAGCGAAAATATTTGGTGGAAAATAAGCATTTTTGACTTAGGATGTTTTCAATTTATGATGGTTTTATCCGAGTATAACCCCATTGTAAATGAAGGAGAACCTGCAACTAACACAAGTGTTAAGGGCACATGGTAAGGGCTCATAAATGTTAGGGGCTGTTCTCCTACTCATTGCCGAAGAGTTGGGCAGTGGGTGTTTTTACCAAAATTAAGGCTGACAACAAGTCCTGCCTCCTGCAAACCCCCACTGAAGCCCATTGGATCACAGGTCTGACCAAAGCATTCTTGCAGTTTTAAATCTCAGGAGTGGCTCCTTCAGATGGGCTATCTTGAAAGCACCAGAGTAGTCTCGTCCCTTAGTCCTAAAAAACCAAAGGATAGAGATGGCCTCGGATTTTAGTACCTTCCTGCTGTTCTCTTCTATTTTCCCAGTACTCCAGCTGCTCTCGGTTCTGATTTTCTCCAGGAAGGCTTTTCATACGGACCCCAGTGAGTTCTCCTTCCTCTGAAAACCTTAGCTATTTTCATTATGGTTATGGTTTTGTATTTCTTTCCACCCTTGTGCAACACCAGCTACCTGAAGGGGATTTTACATGTGCTTGTCTGACATCGACTCCCTTGGAGGTCTCTTTGGTACCGACGTTCACTTTCACTCTACTGCCTTCTGCCCATCTGCTATTCAATTCTTCCCACCCTTGCCCCTGAACTACATGGCAGTGGGTAAGCGTATCCTAAATGTTGGCAGTGCAGTGGCAGTAGATGGCAAGGATGTTTCAGGTGGTTCTTACAGGTCTCAGGTAACATATGAAACCCGTTTCATTAGTAAAACCAAAACAAGGGGTCCTGTTGCATGCTCCCCCATAGGAAATACTTTACAGCTTAGGGGATCCAGGCTATAAATAACTGTGCCAAGTCTGTGAAGCATATTTTTTTTGTCAGTTTATCCAGATCAGAAGCTTCTGAAAGTCCAAAGCCCTTGAGATTATTTGCTTTGTAACGATAAGAATGTGCAAGGTACTTCCACATTTATGATGTCATACAGACTCCAAAATAATGCTGGAAGATAGTCAGGAATCATTAACTCCATTTCATAAATGACTCAGAAGAGGGAGTAACTTGCCCAGGTTTATAAAGGACTGGGGTGGGCTTTATAAGGACAGGGGTGGGCTTGAGTTCAGATCTTTTGCATCTAAATGAATATTGACATGGTGAATATTCAGAGTTCTTACTCCGTGCTAAGCCCCACATTGAGTGTTTATACATGTTATCCCATATATAGTCATATTGCACACTGACGAGTTAAGTTTAGAGAGATTAAGTCACTTGGCCTGGTGACCCACAGCTAGTGAAGGAAGAATTGAGACTGGAACCCAGGTCTCTGGCTCTAGAGCCTTTGCTTTTACGCACACACCAAGTATCTCCCAACTCCAGAGGTCCTGAGCTTCCCTCACAGGGTGCTGGTGATGCAGTGTCAGAAGAGAGGAAGATACCCTGCTCAGCCCCACTCAGCCAAGGTAACGCTAATGGTCAGTCAGTCCTCAGAGAGCTGGGATGCCCTTCTTCTCCCTGCTTACCTCTGCCTGGCCCACCTCTCCTCCCTCAGATCCAGGCCTCTGCAGAGGGCCGGCCCAATTCTGGGAGCATCCTGCCTGCTAAGGTTAGAGAGCTAGGCCTGAAGAAAAGGGATACATTTTTAGCAATAATAATTATGCAAACCTGGACGTAGAAATATAATCCAGAAGGAGGCTTCATTTGCCCACAAAAGAGCTCTACATTGAAGGAGAGGCTTGGAGAATCTTTGCATGTACAGTTTATATAAGCAAGCTTCATAATTATATCTTTTTCAATGAAATTAATTTAAAAATATCACTTGGGTATAAAAGAGACTGGGAAAAAAAATCTGTATAAAAAGCAAATGGGGTTCTTAAACAAGCCCATAAAATCTCTTCATTGACACAGAGATGGGGGTCGGCAAGGAGACTTTTCGAAAGATTCTCTAGGTATGAAATACTGGTTAGGAAATGCCCTCTACCTGGTTGGAGGTAGGAAGATGGGGGTTATCAGGACACAGGCCTTGCTAAGTCCTCAGGGTCTCGCTGTCTAAAAGTTTCCACACTCAAGGGCTCCAGGCCCTCCCTGTACACCACAGGATAAGTGCTGAGATTCTGGAGTCAGAGAAAGCCAGGGCTGGATTTAAGCTGTGTGCTTTCTTCTCCTACTGAAAATACGGAGAAGTCCATTCTCACCCCTGCAGTCAGAGTGATCCTTCTGAATCAGATCAAAGTACTGATCTGCTCAAAATCCTGCGATGGCTCCCCACTTCCCTTAATGGCAGCCTACGTCCTTGGAAGCACTGGCCTGAGGTCCTTTTAAGTTCTTAGTAGAAACCCAAGCCACCTAAGGTGAAAACTGTTAAGCTCCAATCACCCTGACTCATATGCTAACCTTGTTCACTTTTCTCTAGCCACATTGTCCTCCTGGCTACTTGTCCTCCAACAATGCCAGACGCAGCTCCTACTTGATGGCCCTTGTATTGCTTCTTCCTTGGCCTAACCAATGGGTTCACCTCCTTTATGTCTCTGCCTACATATAAACTTCTTAATGAGACTCACCCTGTGAAATTATTACTATCTCTGTCTGCACCCCTTTTCCTTCCCTGATTTTTTTCCCTGATCACCTTCTTGGTATACAATTAATTGATTTGTAAATTTTATTTTTTTTGGATGCCACTTTCCCCTCTAGTTCAATCTACATAAAACTAGAAGTGTTTGTTTGTTTCAGTCATTAATAGATTCCAAGGACCTAGCATGGTGCTTAACATATAGTACGTGCTTAATAACTTATGGCTGAATTAATGAATGAATGTTTAATGCTCACAAGCCACTTCTTCTCCAAGCCTCCGTTTTCTCTTCTCTAAATGGCAGTAAAAATAATACTGCAATGAACGGCTGCTGCTTTTGTCTACCTGGTATTCCTTCTACATTTGATAAGAGAGCTCCTCTTTCCTAAACCCATTTCATGTGGTTCTGATAGCAGCAATCACAGAGTTGCTATGGTCACCCCGGCTGCCCTGGCAATCAGGGAACACCACCATTTCCCTGGTCATGGTGGTGCACAAAAAGGCATGCGTTTCAAGCAGGGCCAATCCATGAGACTAGGTCAATGCTCTCTGGATGAAGGGCCATTTGGAGGAGCCTGTGCTGGCAGGGCCATGTGGGCTGTGGCTGTCAGCAGTGATTTTACAAACTCTTGAAGGCAGCTTGCTCGGGATGTAGCCAAGCAGCATCAGGCAAAGCAGAGAGTTGCCTCGAGAAAGAACAGAGCTCGTGCTCTTTTTGAAAATAGGGTCTAGCTGGAAGAGAGCTGAGGCAAACAGACCCTGGGAATGGACAGGACTAATATGGAGCGACAAACTGCGGAGCCAAAAGCAGAAATTCCTCTGCCTAGGATGGCATCCTTCAATTTTTGCTTGGCAAATTCCTGCTCATCCTTCAGAACCTCATTTGAGGACTTCTTGCTCCCCTAGATCTCATGGGCTGAATTGATCACGATTCCCTTTGTGCCCCATTGTACCAGGTTTCAACTGTATCAAATTCATCACTACAAATTGTAGTCATCCATTGTGTTCATTTGCTAGAAATGCCATAACAAAATAGCACAGTCTGGGGGGCTTAATAGAAATGTATTTTCTCATGGTTCCAGAGGCTGGAAGTCCAAGATCAAGGTGTCGACAGTGACGGTTCCTTCCGAGGCTTCTCTCCACGGCTTCACCCTGTCTTCACTTGGCCTTTCCTCTTTGTGTGCATCCCTGGTATCTCTGTGTGTGTCTAAATGTCCTTTTCTTAGAAAGACATGAGTCAGATTACATGAGGGCCCACCCTAATGGCTTCATTTTAACTTATTTACCTCTTTAAAGGCTTTATTTCCAAATGCAGTCACATTCTAAGGTGAGGGTTAGGGATTCAACATATGAATTTAGAGGGACAAAATTCATCCCACAAAATCTACTTTCCTACTTCCTCCACCAAGTTACTTGAGGTCAGATGGAAGCTGCTTAATAAATGTTTGATTAAGAAAGGATTAACAAGATGAGTGAATGAAGAGAAATCATTGTGCTGCCTCAGGCCTAGATAGATCCTTCCTTTGGCACCAGTGGTCACTTTCTAGTCTCTCCTCAGACTGGTCTGGGAAAATTAAGTCTTCCAGAGAAGGCTGAGGTTATTGGAGTTTCTTCTGCCCTGTTTCAGGGTGGGCCAGGTGCCAAGGGGATGCCTACGTGCCAAAGGCCAAGAATCAGTTTTGTTATTTTAATCCCATTTAAAATCTTTCTAGCCTCTACTCTCTTACTGACTTCCCACATCTGGTAAATTTCCTGAGCTGTCAATTCTTCTCCTAGAGTAGCTATCACTTCTCTCAATTTTTGTGAGGCTGGCAGAAACCCTGACTAGCTCTTTCTTAGATCAGAGTACCAATCTCCTAACTAGCTGGTCTGTCACCACCGTCCCCACTTTAATATACCCTATCCTTGTGATTGTAATCTATCTGAAATCAGTGCCAACTGTGCCATTCATATGCTAAGAAAGCTCTGATCTGCCCTACTGTCTAAAAGTCTAGGTCCCCTTTACATTCCTCCACATGCCCTTCAGACCTTTTGCGATATTGATTTCATCCATCTCTCCAGGGTCCTCTGTCGTCTTCAGTCTCCTGCCACACCAAGGCCACGTCTCTGTGCCTCCTCATATGTTTTTCTACAGCCTGCAACACATCTCTTCCCCTTCTCCCACAAGGATCCCGTGCTTCACAGGCCAACTCAACATTACATGCTTATCCAAAGCTTCCCAAGAACCAAGTTTAGTTATACTTTGAGCTGTTTACCATAGACTCTACCATTTTGCATTATAGCTTTTTTGTGCATGTGTATGTTTATCTACATCTGCTAGACTGTGAGTACTTTGATGGGGAAAAAAAATCAGTCATTTTTTTTTTTTATTTGAGACAGAGTCTCGCTCTGTTGCCCAGGCTGGAGTGCAGTGGCGCAATCTCAGTTCACTGCAACCTCTGCCTCTTGGGTTCAAGCGATTCTCCTGCCTCAGCCTCTCGAGTAGCTGGGAATACAGGTGCCCACCACCACGCCTGGCTATTTTGTACTTTTAGTAGAGATGGGGTTTCACTATGTTGGCCAGGCTGGTCTCGAACTCCTGACCTCAAGAGATCCACCCACCTTGGCCTCCCAGTGTGCTGGGATTATAGGCATGAGCCGCCACACCTGGCCAATCAGTCTTATTAATCAATATATCACTAGCACTCAGTACATATCTAGAATATAAAAGACACTTACACTTATAGATAATTTCAAAATAGTTAGTTGACTTTTTCTGGTTGCCTAAATGTGCCAGGCATAGAAACACATATGGATCTGACCCAGGTATAGACACAACATGGCCATGACTTGCAGTAGTGTGCTAAGGGATCAACAGAGGTGGAAATGAGAAAGGCTTCCTGTGGTGGTGGTGTGTGACCTGGAGCTCATCACCTGGGTAGCAATTTTGTAAGGAAAGTGAAAAATAATTCTTGTTCACACTGGGTGAGGATAAGGGAAAGCATTCCTAGTGGAAGTAAATGACCCAATTGGAGGAAAATAAGGAGCAGGTAGAAAAAAGGCTAAAAGGCTTCAAGAATACTGAGTGGCTGCAGTTTAGCTGAGAAGTAAGAATCGTTTGCTGAAAGTCTTCATGTTGAAGTAAAGGTCCCTGGCTTGCAATACAGGTCACCTGTTTTCATGAACTTCCAGATAGCAGCATAAAAGACGAGAGCCCACATATGGGATGACTTAAATTGGTGCGAGGAAATGTGTGTGTCACTCTGATCGGGAGTGGTACGTGCTGCATTATTAGCCCCAGCCTGAGGCCACAGTACAGTCATAAATCAAGAAGCGGGTGTTTAAAAAACAGTGGAAGTGTTAGGGAAACATGAAGTGGCTGACCTGTGGGGCTGGGCTGTTCCTCCCTACGAGAACTTCTATGACTAATGATGTGGATAAATAGTGCTTAACTTTCTTATAACCACACGTGTAATTTATTTAATTCTGGGATACTATGCAGTTCTGTTGAAGCCCCTTCAGATGATGGTGATCAGTTGAAAAAGGTTACCCTCTACTCAGAAGAGGCTGGAGCTTTGTTCTCACCAAGGAGATTCTTTTTTTCTGATAACTGGGATTAATGTATAGAAAGGTGAGATTTAGGAGTAGCCACCCACTTTTCTAGTTTAATTTATAGCTGTTGAAAGTCTACCAGTAGATAATCATTCCACTGGATATTTAACAGCCTTTAAAATGAAAATGAAAATAAAAATATCTGGGAAGAAGGTGGGTCTCTCTTTAGGATTTGTTGGATCACATTCATTGGGATTCATGAAAGTTGAGTGAGGAAAAGGCCTAAAAGCTTATGGGATTGCAGGATGAGAAGTAAATGAGTAGAAGCCTAAGACTGGCCACCAGCCCTACTCATTAACAGTTGCCACCTTCCCCCTCTAAGCCTCAGTTTTCTCATCTGTAGAAGGGGCTAATAATACCTACCTCATAAAGTGTTATAAAGATCAAAGTCCAAAGTCAGACACCTATTCCTAGACATGATATATTTCTTAGACGTGTATAAAAGTCAAGTATATTTAAGTTGAACAAGCATACAGATATATTGTAAGAAAAAGCTGGTCCCAGATAAATATAAATTGCAAAATTTCTAATTACACCTTACTATTTCTGTATAAAAACCTTTATTTTTAGAAATATTTTTAGCATTTTATTTCTATTCTTTAATAATTGTTTAAATTGTATTTTATAATTGAACACAACAATAATGAGTGTAAGCCCAATGCATATTGAGGTTCATTAAGGTCATCAATTGTTTGCTTTCAGTACACGCATTTCATTTCATTCATTCATTTATTCAATCATTCAACTGGAACAACAAAATGAGTATCAACTACTTGGCAATTTAGTCTCAAATGTGTTAGAATTATGAAACTTAGATTGATGTATCGCTTTCTTTTTTAAAATTTTAACCTTTCTTTAAAAAATTATAAAATTCAGTCAATATTCATGTAAGTCCACAAACACTGCACAACATACATGCCACTGTCAAACAGAACTTTTGGCCTCCAAAAATGTCCTAGGGATAATTCACACAGCTTTTTTTTTATTAGTGATCATGAAAGTCTAAATTCAACATATACATAAGTTTCAGGGGTACCAATGTAACATATAGATAGTAGAAAAAGTTGAAAACCATTAGTGATGTATCTAAAATGTTTTGGTTAAGGCATCTTCCAAATCTAAAGAAATATCAGGAATGGGATATCAGAGGGTGATGCCAGAGTGAGAGAAGAAAGCAAGAAAGCATGCAGGCAAAGGGTAAGTCTTGTTCAAAGACATCATGCATTTCCTGAGAGCTGGCGTAGATCAAGCTCATTTTTTTTTCTTCATTATTCAGGAGAGCTTCTTAATGTAGACATTCTCAATCCTGGCTGCTTCTTCAAAACATTTATTATTCCCATAAAAATAAGTCAAGGCCTGGGGCCCACCCAAGGTTGATTAAATTAGAATTTCTGGGGTGGCGTGCAGAGATGGGTTTGAACTTATGCTTCTTCAGTTACAAACAGCATGGTAGTGAGCAAATGACTTGACTTTTGTATAACAATTTTCTCATTAAAATGGTTACTGATCTATATCACAGATAACTGTCTAGGTTTACACCTGATACACGAAAAACTGCTCAAAATATACTACTTTCCTCTGTATTAGTAGACAATGCTAAAATAGGCAGACGTGAACAGCATTTCTGAGAGATCTTATAATATTATCAAATGAAGCAGGCTGATGAGAGGATACAGATGCCAGAAGGAGCCAGGGAAAATAACAACATGCTTCTCAGGAAGTAAGCCACTTGCAAAGCATGTGCCAGTTTTCTCAGTCTTAGATGGGGCACCATCCATAAGCCAGTAAGTATGACTGCTTCTGACCTGGTCAATGGAAAGTAGAAAGAGAGCTTGCTGTTGGATGTGATGGAAGAGGCTCAGCAACCCAGAGTGCTCCCTAAGGAACAGGGCATGTTAACCAACCTACTTCTTGCAACTTTTCTTAAGCCGCTGAATATTTGATTGGATTAACTCTTCATAATGAAAGGTTATACCACAGGATCAGAGGGTTGGAATTTATAGTTTCACTCCACAGCCTCTGGCGAGGGTAGAGGAACTGGAGATTAAGTTCAATCACCAATGGACAATAATTTAATCAATCATGCCTATATAATGGGGCCTCCGTAAAACCCCCTAACAATGGGGTTCAGAGAGCTTCTGGGTTGCTGAAGGCATCCATGTGCTGGAAGGATGATCCACTCTCTGTAAGCAGATTATTGAACCTGAGGATAGGTTGGTGAAAACCTGTGATTTGTGGCCAAGTTGGACAAAATGTAGGTAACCTATGGACCCGCTACTTGGAATCAATGCCTTAAGTTGTAGGGGATAGTGGTCTTGTGAGACTGGGCCTTTAACTCTCGGAGTCTGACATTAATTATTCATAGATAATGTCAGAATATAATTGAATAATTGGACTCCCAGCTGGTGATTGCAGAGAATTGAAAAACTGTACCCCACACATTTGGTGTCAGAAGGGTTAGCAATAGAGGAACCATTTCATTTGCTTTCAATTTTTTTTAAACCTTCCTTTAGTTTTTGCTCTACTTTCTTTAACTTCTGGAGATAACCACATAAATGATTGATTTCCAGTTATGCTCTATTTTTATATATTTATTCAAGACTATAATTTCATTATCTTTTTTTTTTCCAAATATTTTAAAACTTCCACCTGAGGTTGGGAGTTCGAGACCAGCCTGACCAACATGGAGAAACCGCGTCTCTACTAAAAATACAAAAATTAGCCAGGTGTGGGGGCACATGCCTCTCCTGAGGCAGGAGAATCACTTGAATCTGGGAGGTGGAGGTTGCAGTGAACCGAGATCACACCACTACACTCCAGCCTGGGCAACAAGAGTGAAACTCAGTCTCAAAAACAAACAAAAACAAAAACAACTTCCATTTTGATTTCTTATATGACCCATGATAATTTAGAAGTATATTTCCCTTCTTTCAAACTTATGAGAGTTTCAAATTATTATTTAGTTACTGATGTTTATTTTAGCTGAATTGTGACTAGAGAATACATTCCATGTAATCTTAAATCCATAATATATGTTGAATCTTGGTTTATACTCCGATAGAAAGTCACATTTTGAAATTCTGCATGTGCTTGAAACTTGATGTATCCTGGAGTTGTTGAGCACAGTGTTCCGTATCTATACATTGCATCAACTTTATTATTCAAATTGTTGTTCAAACCATCTGTAGGCTCACTGATACTTGGTCTGCTTTCTCAATTACTGAGAGAGATGCATTTTAAAAATCCACTGTGACAGTAGATATGCCTATTTTTCTTGAAGATACACAGTTTTGCTTTTTGTTTTGTACGTTTGAGACTCTACAATTTTAAATTTTCATACAGTTAAATTCTTGCAATTTTTTGTAAAACTGTTATATTTCCCTGGTGAATTAAAACTTTTCTTATCATAAGTGACCTTCTTTTTCTATGCTAATGGTTTTTGGCTTAAGTTCTAGTTTGTCTTAATATAGTTGAATAAGTTCAGTAACTTAATTGAATAACTGGTTATTCAATTGGTTACTGTTTTCCTGAAGTATCTTTTTTCTTTCTTTTATTTTCAACCTATCCTCATACTTACATTTAAGATGCATGTCTTGAAACAGCATGAAATTAGACCTTTTAAAAAGTCTAAAATCTCTTCTTTTTACAGAAGTATTTAATCAGTTACATTTATTGTAACTATACAGTTTTGGTTAAATCTCTCACATTATTTTGTGACTGATACTATCTTTTTTTTTCAGAAAGATTATTTTTATCTTTCTGGTTATTTTCTGCTTTCTTAGTTTGGAGATTATACCATCTTAATGTTATTTCAATGGCTACTCTCAATTGTATCATGTAATCTTGACGTAAATTTTAATATCAATCTTTGCTTTTATATTATTTCTAGACAATGGAAAACATTTAGAATACTTTAACTCAACTTACCCCTTCCTGACTTATACCTAAATATTGTCAGATATAAGTCATCATTTTACTTTATTACTTTATATTATTATTTTCTAATATAATTTTCAGTTTTATTTTTACTTAATATTTTCTTTGGTTTTGCTTATTTTACAAGTCTCAGAACCTCCATCTGGAATTATTTTCCTTAAAACTGAAGTGAATCATTTAGAGTGTCCTTTGTTATAGTTCAGCTATGGCCAGTTCTCTCAGTTTGGGTACCTTTGTTAACATTTTTGTTTCATATCTATTCTTGATATATATTTTAACTGAATATAGAATTCTAAGTTGGCAGTTATTTTTATTCATTAGATTAATTCCTCTCTCCTGGCTTATATAATTGCTGGTGAAAAGGTAGTTGTTTATCAGTTGTCTCTCTTTTAATGATGATCTTTCTCTTTTTCTCTGTGGTTTTTAAGATCTTCTCTTTGCCTTCTGTTGTCTATAGTTTCATTATGATGTATCTTAGTATGAATTGTTTTTTTTCTAAATAGGATTCACTTTTGGTATAGTAGTTTCTATGGGTTTTGATATGCATCTACCATTGTCATACCACAAAGAATAGTTCCGATGACCTAAACATCGTCTGTACTTTACCTGTTCATTCTTCCCTCCCCTCAACTTCTGGCAACCATTAATCTTTAAACTGTCTCCATAGTTTTGCCTTTCCAGAATGTCATATAGTTCAAATCATACAGTATGAAGCTTTTTGAGTTTGGCTTCTATCACTTAGCAACATTCATTTAAGGTTCCTTCTTGTATTTTTATAGCTTGATAGCACATTTTTCTTGTTAGAAGGAATCCTGTTTTATTGATTGAATGTATCACAGTTTATGATTGTTCACCTATTGAAGGGCAGGTTGCTTCCAAGTTTTGGCGATTATTAATAAAGTTTCTCTGAACATCTGTGGATCTTATGTCCACTCATGTGTACACACAAGTTTTTAATATATGCCTTTTCAATGTTTCTATTTAAAATTAGGCTTCTTGGAGCTGTGAATTGTTGTTTTTCATCAATTCTAGAAAATTTTCATTATCTTCTGAAATATTGCCTCTGTTCCTATTCTCTATTTTCTTTCTATGTCTGACAATTCCCATATCTGAAATATGTGGATCAGTGTTGCTGATTCTCACTCATGGTAACTGTACCTGTATCCTTGGTGCTACTCACTGCCCTTAAAAAAATTATTTACAGGGGCTGCCCAAGCCTTTTTATGAAGTTATTTTCCTCAAAGAAGATGTGGGTTTTTTCCTGCCAGTCATTTAGTATACTATCAGTCCCTAACAATTTTAGGCCAAATCGATGATTTGAACTTTCTTGGATTGCCCTGGTAAAATCATTTGTATTTCTGCATGGAGGCCAGTGCTTAACTTGTAATCTTCCTGGGAAAGATTTTCCTTTTTTTCCTTTTATACATACCCTCTCTGCTCAGTGTTAAGGCAACTCTCCTGTTCCATGGGAGAGTTAGGAGTGTAATAGTGTTAATTCATGCATACCTTAAGATAAACACGTAGTCCTTCAGAATCCAGCTTATTGTGAATCTGTGTGGGTATCTATCAAACCCCAGATGTTTTGCAGACTTTCACTTCTGTTGTCCTTGAGGTGCTAGGCAGTCAAAACAAACGTTCACATTCATTGTCGTTTCTTCTAGGAAGACAAATACCCTCTGGGTAAAAGTGATTTTGCGTTCTCTCTTAACTTTTAGGTAGGGTTCTCACCTTCATGTTGGCTTGATTTTGACCTAAAAATTTTTCACCAGCTTGTAGCATTATGATGTTTTTAAGAAAAAAAGTAGACATATGGATATCTATCTATGTATCTATCTATGTATCTATGTATCTATGTATCTATGTATCTATCTATCTATCTATCTATCTATCTATCTATCTATCTATCTAATCTATTTAAATTTCATCCAGAATTTCTAGTTGTTCTGGAATAAAAATTGGTCAAAGTAATTTAGCCCATCATGTCTATAAGCTGACATTCCCTTAAATAATGTTTTTGAAAAGGAAAATACAATATTTTCTCTGTGAACTCTAATTTTATTCAGACAGTTTTTATGAAATAATATTGCTATGTCAAGTGTGTTATTGGTTGTATAGTGGGAAAGCTATACTAAATATCTGGAGTCTTTAGTGGGTTTTCAGAGTTATGTCTAATCACTGAATTCTCAGCAGATGTTGAAGAGTTAAAACGGTTGCATTTCAAAAGAAATAGTTGCATTTACTATATGGTACTGTAATATGGTTCTTTTGATCACCATATTGTGATTTAACTCAGACATGTTCATTGTTTGTGCAATTTCTCCAAACCCCTGAAAGATGATATATATCCCTCTGGCAGGAAACCAACACTCTAGAGTGGCACTGGGTTATTTAACCACCCTGATAAATAATTTACACTTGGGGATATTATGCAGAAACCTTTTCAATTAACTTGTGTTGACAGAGAAACTAAATATAGTAGTCATTGAATTTTTTTTTAATGCATTCTTGACCTATCAGGCAGAAATAATCTTGTTTAAAATAACGTCCACTCTAGAAAATGAATATATGAAAGAGAAAAATTTTGAATAATAACCATATACGAGAGTTAAATATCTAAGATTGTTTTGATTTCAGAGGAAATTTTAACTTTTTCTAAGTACATCATTTTAGTTCACTAAAAGAAGGATCTGCTGGTTGAGTAAAAAAGCCAAAGGTTCTAAACTCTAAAGATTTTGGTCCAAATCGTGGCTGCAGATGAGTCACTTGAGTTTTCTGAAGCCTTGTTTCCTTATCTATAAATTAGGAATAAGAATAGTTTACAATGTTGTTACAAGAATTAGAGATAATATATGTAAACTATCTCAAATAAATAGTAGTTTTTATTCTGGAAAGAATTTTCCCTAATGAGTTTAATCACATGTCCTATTTTATTCTATTAACTGATGAGCCATGGTCTTAGGGATTTGCAAGAATGTGGCACTATTTTAAAAAGAAAATAAGTCTTCTTTAGTTTTTTTCCTACGTGTAAACTTATTTGAAAATTAATTAACAGCTGGAGTAAATTAATACTAAATATGGCAAAATTAATTGTGTTGGCTTTAGCAAGTCACATCTGTCAACTGAAGACAGGCTGCTTACTAAAATACACAGGCATCTGCAGAAAGAACTAGAAGATGGAGTCAATAATTTGACTGAACTATACAGAAATTTCCAGGGGAATTTGTGGCAGGATGATGATGATGATGATTATGATTGTCTGTATGCTTTCTTTGTAGACATTCTAGTTTTCCTTGTACTAATTCCCAATTACCATTGACTATCATTGTCAAAAATAATGCCACACTTACTTAACGGCATTTTCATGCTTACTGTTTTGACTGTTCAATACGAGTGTTAAAGAAGAATCCAGCATTGGCTTCACAAGCCAGAAGAGCTCTCTTTTCTTCAATAAAGATGGAACTCATTTCCTAGGGTATAGTGAGAGACCATCTACCAGGACAGCCAAATCAGCCCCATCTACCCTGACCATCAGTAATGTGGTAGACACCTGAGCTTTCAGGTCATTAATTAACTAATTAATTTGTCAACCTAATATTTTGTGAGTGATTGATATAGCCCCATTCCAGATGTTAGCAGGATGCAGAAAAGGTGCAAACAGATTCCTGCTTTCAGTGTACTCACAGTTTAGTGCTTGGCCACTCACAACTAACCTTTGAGTCCCTTCCTATCTCTACTTCTCTGACTTGTTTTGCAGCATAAACACAGGAATAAATATTCCTAAGGTAACCAAGGATTCGGTCATGAATGTCTTTCTAATCCATTCACACTACCCAAAACACTTATGCAGGATTATCCATCACGAGTCATTCTACAGTCCTAATCACATTGGCTGCTGAAGGAAGCCTCGTATTAATTACATTTTTCCTAAATGGAAAACAGCTGTGATGAATTAATCTATTCACCAGAAATCTCATATTAGGAAATGAAGTCTCATATTTCTCATATAGGAATATCTATATCCTGATATAGATTTTTCTCAACTGTCAGTGTCTCCAACTGGAAGAGGAAGAATAATATCTTCCTCTACCTTACCTGTGTCTTTGAATGTGGCTGGTTCACTTGGCCCCTTCTACTTCTCTGTCATACAGCAGAGACAAAATGTTTCCTCAGCTAGACTAGAAACATTTAAATGATAAACACATATTTTTTTAAAAAAATGTCACTCAGATGCAGTAAAGTCAGCAAAACAGAACACATAATTACAAGGCCCACTTAAAGAGACACATCCAGAGCATAAATCTCCTGCTTAAGGATGGGCCTAATGCAGATATTACTGCTAATGCCACTAAACATTCAGTCTCAGAAGTCACTTCCTGTGCTCTGATTCTAGAAGAACTAATTAAGATTCTGAGTATAAGTTGGCTTCCCAAATGGATTTTCTTTATTGGGATACATTTTGCTACCCAAAGAAAAGTTTCCTGTTCTTTTGTTGGTTTCTCATTATTGACAGATATTTTGACAAATTCAAATATCTGAGGCTACTAAGCTAAGGCTTCAACATTGTACAATTGTGATTAAAGAAATGTCATACTGATTGCCTCTCTTCCCCCAACCCACCCCCAGCCCTTCAAGTAGTAATACCGAATTTCTTTGTGCCTTCTATATATGCCATGGCTTGGTCATTTGCAAAGTGATTTTAATTACCAACTTATGTTTTTCCTTTCTGGTCAGCAATCCTGGTAGATTATATTTGTTATATGAAACAGAATCCATCCCAGATATTTTAAGGAGGAACAGAAAACATTAAAGTAGGTATGTATAAAATAATGGAAAGGCCTGGAAGAATGACATAGGTTCTAGAAATAGAAATGACTCCAAGAATACACAAGAACTGACCTGCGAGGGGAAGGTACTACTTCTGCCCAAATCTGCACCTTCAGGAAGTTGTAAGACCTAAAGACTGCCAATGGAAATAAAAGTTAAAACACATGGCATCATGTGTGTCATACTAGGATCTAAACATCAGCGAACTGGAATCAAGATACCATCATGACTGCAACCTCCTCTCAACACCCATCAGGAGGTGAGTCAACATGGAATCATTGTAGAATCGGCCCCAATTGCCTCTTGTTATCAAAGAAAACAAAACGAAACAAAATTGACTCTGTTTCTATGGCCTTTCTTGCCAGCAGAAAATAGCCAAAAACTATAGGTAAAAAGGCCTGCTCAGTTGTCCCCTCAACATCTAATTTCATGGGTATATGTTTGCTGGAAACTGGTTTTCATTCTTGATGTAGGCAATGTAGTTTGTTTTTGTTTTTAAATTGTCCAACTCATGCAAGATAAAAAAGGGCACTCTAGATGTAGGTAGGAAAGAAAACTGAATACCAATTGACCATATCCAAGATATTTCATGTTCCATTTGTCTTATGTTCCTACAAATGTAATATAAAAATTTTTGCAAGATACCCTATCTTACACATAGTCTACTCTTTGCATGCAGTCTCTTAATGCAGATGTATGTATGCATTTGAGAATACGGTTGAAACTGTGCCCTGGAGTTGGTTGTAAATTATTATACTTAGTAGCATACTACATGAGATTCTGTGTAGTACTATACCTAAGGATGCTATAGCTAATTATTAAGTATGTAATAAGTGTATCATTGAACATCCCTATGCCATATGTAGGCTGAAGAAAAAGCCAGACAAACCTCCACCGAGAAAAGAGCACACACATGTGACTTTTTACATCCCACATTTACTTTAATGAAATATGGACGCCCTAATCTGCTGTTTCTTTCCTTTCTACTATGCTACAATACTTTTCTTAATTAAGAATAATCATTTTTTTTGGTAGCTTCAGTTATTTCTTTCAAAATATCCAAATACAGTTATCTTCCTCTTTTCCAGTTCATAAAGAGAACATGCAAAATATGTGTTCAGTGAAGAATGAAAAATATATATCCAAGCCTTCTCCAAAAAGGCCTCAGTGACTTTTGCAACATCCTCAACTTCATTTATCTATAGGATGGCTTTTGATAGCTTTATGTAAGCTTTTTAAAGTTCAGCCAAGCCAGCTGCATGATCAACACAAAGACAATAGCTCCCACACACAGGGTTACATGGATTAAAGAACCCGATCCATCAGTAAACCTGCCAGATGGCAGTGGAAGAAAGCTTGTAACTCTCTCACTTTCATTTCAACAGCAGCAAACAATGTTCAATGTTTAAAATAAACTCTTCCAGATGAGCTAAAGATAAACTCTGAGGTGGGTGGACTTGATCTTGTTAGGCTGCAGCTCTGAAGTGTTTGATTACATTAACACAAAACCCCTGGGTAGAACCCACTTCTGTCAACAGAATGCCTAGACTCAAACACCTACTACACAAAGCCATTTCCTGTGCTTTCATGGGTTGGTGGCAGAAACTCGCTCTGCTTTTTTCACAAACTAATAATAATTATATATTTTTCTGTGCTCAACATTTCCTCAAACCATGTGGATAACTTCAAGATGTAACTAAAATGCCAACATATATGTATGCCTGCACAGATAAAATGTTTTGAATCTGTTTACAACTTAAAATTCTACTATTTATTCACCTTACTACTCTCATAGTAGCAAAAATGGGGGCTATTAGGAAGATTTAGAACCAATTTCATTCTGTCAAAAGCTGGAGAACTATCTACATCTGTGGGTTATACCAAAAAGAAAAAAGAGGAAGGTACAAGTGCTTAAGTTCAACATTATAAAGGAAGGTAGAAACTTTTTTGTTTTTAATAGACTCTAAAACCCCCAACTTAGGACAAACCAGCCTGGAATAGTTCATATGTAACATGGCAACTTCCAAATATAAAATGACATACGAAAAATAACTTTATTATAAACATTCAGAAACATATTTATCACAATTAATAGGAGATTTTAAAATGAGAGAGAGAGAAACAAATCTGATGATGAAACTAAATTTTAAGAACTGGCTACAAAAACACTTTAGGACCAAATATATCAAGTTATCAATTCAATATACTGGTGCATTTTAAAAAATAAAACTATTCCCAAATTTAGATTAGAACTCCTTGGAAAAACATGCTTCACGACACAGAACACATTTATTTCTATCCCTCCAAACGAAAACTCTTCTGATATGAAGTGATACCTCTGCTGTACAATAGAAGCATTCTTATTTTGAATTGGTTGGTTACATTTAAAAAGTTGATTAAAGCAGAAAATAAAAAAGATGAATTATATGTACCACAAAATGTTTGAACTTAAAACATATAACATGTTCATTTCTTTGTCTATCTTCTAATATAAGGCTACGGGTTCAACTGGTATCTTCGTTGTTTTCCTTTTTGAGCATGGACTCACTTGGAATTTCATTTTCTTACATTGTTCAAGAATACCTTGTTTTATCATGCTTCACTTGACTGTGCTTTGCAGGTACTGCATTTTTTTTTTTTTTTTAACAAACTGAAGGTTTCTAGCATCCCTGCATGGAGCAAATCCATTGGTGACATTTTTTCAATGGTTTGTGCACACTTCATGTCTCTGTCATATTTTGGTAATGCTTAGCAATATTTCAAACTTTATGGCTGGGTGCAGTGGCTCACGCCTGTAATCCCAGCACTTTGGGAGGCTGAGGTGGGTGGATCATGAGGTCAGGAGATCAAGACCATCCTGGCTAACACGGTGAAACCCCGTCTCTACTAAAAATATAAAAAATTAGCCAGGCGTCGTGGTGGGCGCCTGTAGTTCCAGCTACTCGTGAGGCTGAGGCAGGAGAATGGCGTGAGCCCAGGAGGCAGAGCTTGCAGTGAGCTGAGATAGTGCCACTGCACTCCAGCCTGGGCGACAGAGCAAGACTCCGTCTCAAAAAAAAAATGTATTTCAAACTTTATTATTTTATCTGTAATAGTGATTTGTAATCAGTAATCTTTGATGTTATCCTAGTAATTGTTCTGGGGCACTAGAAGCCCCACCCATATAAGATGGCAAATGTAATTGATAAATGTTGTGTGTGTTCTGACTGCTCCGGTCATTCCCACATCTCTTTCCCTCTCCTTGGGCCTCCCCATTGCCTGAGACACAACAATATTGAAATTAAGTCAATTAATAATCCTACAATGGCTACTAAGCATTCAAGTGAAAGAAAGAGTCTCACATCTCTCAATTTAAATCAAAAACTAGGAACTATTAAGCTTAGTGAGGAAGGCATGTTGAAAGCCAAGAAAGGCCAAAAGCGAGGCCTCTCCTGCCAAACAGTTGGCCAAGTTATGAACACAAAGAAAAGTTCTTGAAAGAAATTAAACATGCAATTCCAGGAAACACATGAATGATAAGCAAGTGAAACAGCCTCATATTGCTGATATGGAGAAAGTTTTAGTGGGCTGTCTAAAGTGATCTTCTAAGATCAAACCAGCCACAACATTCCCTAAAGCCAAAACCTAATTCAGAGCAAGGCCCTAACTCAACTCTATCTGGGTTGAGAGAGGTGAGAAAGCTGCAG
Organism: Homo sapiens; assembly: GCF_000001405.40. Taxonomy (NCBI): domain Eukaryota; kingdom Metazoa; phylum Chordata; class Mammalia; order Primates; family Hominidae; genus Homo; species Homo sapiens. The sequence continues at coordinate 18,549,037 of NC_000002.12, forward strand.
AAGAAAAGTTTGAAGCTAGCAGAGGTTGGTTCATGAGGTTTAGGGAAAGAAGCCATCTCTGCAACATTAAAGTGCAAGGTGAAGCAGCAAGTGCTAATGCAGAAGCTACAGCAAGTTATCCAGAAGAGCTAGCTAAGAACATTGATGAAGGTGGCCACACTAAGTGATATGGTTTGACTGTGCCCCACTCAAATCTCATCTTGAATTGTAGCTTCCACAATTCCCATGTGTTGTGGGAGGGACCCGTGGGAGGTAATTGAATCATGTGGATGGGTCTTTCCTGTGCTGTTCTCATGGTAGTGAATAAGTCTCAAGAGATCTGGTGGGTTTATAAGGGGAAACCTCTTTTGCTTGTCTCTCATTTTCTCTCTTCCCTGCAGCCATGTAAGATATGCCTTTCACCTTCTGCTATGATTGTTAGGCCTCCCCAGCCACGTGGAACTGTGAGTCCATTAAACTTCTTTTTCTTTATAAATTGCCCAGCCTTGGGTACGTCTTTATCAGCAGCATGAAAATGGACTAATACACTAAGCAACGGATTTTTAATGCAGACAAAATAGCTTTCCATTGGAAGAAGATGCGATCTGAGGCTTTTATAGCTAGAGAGAAGTCAATGCATGGAAACAAAGCTTCAAAGGACAGTCTGACTCTCTTGTTTGGGGCTAATGCAGCTGGTGACTTTAAGTTGAAGTCAATGCACATTTACCATACTAAAAATTCTAGGGCCTGTAAGAATTATGTTTAATCTACTCTGCCTATGTGCTATAAGGGGAACAACAAGGTCTGGATGACAGCACATCTGTTTACAGCATGGTTTACTGAAATTTTAAGTCCACTGTTAAGACCTATTGCTTAGAAAAGATGCCTTTCAAAATATTACTGCTCATTGACAATGCACATAGTCACCCAAGAACTCTGATGGAGATGTATAAAACGATTAATGTTTTCATGTCTGCTGATACATCTAGTCTGCAGCCCATGGATTAAGGAGTAATTTTGACTTTAAAGTCTTATTATTTAAGAAATAACATTTCCTAGGGCTAAAGCTGCCACAGTTATTCCTCCGATGGATCTGGGCAAAATAAATTGACAATCTTCTGCGAAAGTATTAACCATTCTAGATGCCATTAAGAACATTCATAATTCAAAGGAGAAGGTCAAAATATCAACATTAACAGAAATTTGAAAAAATCTGAGTCCAACCCTCATGGATGACTTTGAGGGTTCAAACCTTCTTTGGAGGAAGTAAACACAGATGAGGTAAAAATCACAAGATAATTGGAAGTGGAGCCTAAAGATGTGAGTGAACTGCTGCAATCTCATGATAAAACTTAAAGACATAAGGAATTGTTTCTTAGGGATGAACAAAGAAAGTGGGTTTCTGGAGATGGACTCTACTCCTGGTGAAGAGGTTGTGAACATTTCTGAAATGAAAGCAAAGGATTTGGAATATTACATAAACTTAGTTGAGAAGGCAGCAATAGGGTTTGATAGGATTGACTTCAATTTTGAAGGAAGTTCTACTGTGGGTAAATACCACCACATGCTACAGATAAATATTTCATGGAAGGAACAGTCTTATCAATTTGGCAACCTGCATTGTTGTTGTATTTTCAGACATTGCTCCAGCCAACCCAGCCTTCAGCAACCACCACCCTGAAGTCAGCAGCCATCGAGGTGAGACCCTCCACCAGAAAAAATATAATGACTCACTGATGGCTCAGATAATTGTTAGAGGTTTTTGAGCAAAAAACGTATTTTTAAATTAAGGTATGTACATTGTTTTTTAGACATAATGGTCTTATACACCTAATAGACAACAGTATAGTATAAACATAACTTTTACACGCATGGAGAAACAAAAAAGTTTGTGTAACTCACTTTAATATTTGCTTTATTGTGGTGATCTGGAACAAAATCAGAAGTATCTCTGTGGTATTCCTGTATTCACTTAAATAGTAGAGTCGGATTTCTAGCTTTTTTGCCCTTAAAATGGACTCAAAGTTTAAAGTTACTTGCAAAGCACTAACTACAGACTCCTTTTATAATTTTGTATTTATTTTTAGTATTTGATAGTTGCTTTGAAACTTTAGTCAACAGTAAATTTTTAGTGACTTGCTTTCATTTAGTTTTTACAAAACTACTTTTCTACTTTTCATATAAATTCTTTGTACTCACATTTCATTGACTTGCAGTATGATTAATAATTTGTAATGTGATTATTAACCAGCACAGTTGACATATGCATGCACAAATTGGGTTGGGTTTTCTTTGTTGCCTCCTGCATGCCCAGAACTAGAATAATGCCCGGTTACATAATAGGTACTCAATAAATATTTGCTAAGTGAATAACAAATGGTACACAACTCACTCTTAAGTATATAATAGAACAAGAGGAAGCAGAAGGGCTGTTGTGTGCTAGAAGAAAGCCTATCAGCCTAGAGTTTCACATGCTATGTGCATTAGTTTTTTTTTTTTTTTTTAGAAAAAAAGAATGGAGAATCAGTTATTACAGCAAATCTCTTAGATGGTAGTTGCTTAAAAGTGCTTCCACTGCACTTTGATTACACATCTGGCTTAGCAAAAGCTTTTCCTTACTGTCTGCATAAAACTAAGCATTCCGTCTTAGTTTCCTCTAGGAATAAACTACCTTTCTCCATGTTAGCCTGTAACTAATTTAACTCCCCATCGCCCAGAGAAGGCTTGTGGAACATCTGAACCTGTCTGTGGGGGCCAAGCTCCTGAAGGGTGATTAGTAACATGTTCTCTCTTCAGTGTTCCATAGGACATTTGGAATCAATTAAATATTCAAATACAGAGTCCCTCAGATCTCTGGCCAGGCCCAGCAAGTTTGTCAGGGGGAGGGAGTTGAAGGCAGATAACTGCTCTTCCTCACACCAGAATCTATAGCTGGAGACAGACTTTTAAAATATACCCTTTAGGCTTCCTGGTCTGCAAGCAAATAGTTGTCCACAACATTAGAAATAATATGGAAAAACAACAGCAGCCTTATAGAGTAATAGGAGTCACAGCATATACGACAACTACTCTCAAACAAGGTGTCTTAAAGGTAAACAAGTAAGTGAGTACATTGGGCCTGGAAGACTGTACCAGTCATTTAAGTACAATAGTATGGTATGTACTGGCTACAAATGGTCTTTACATTTTTGAAAGATTATAAAAAGAAATCTGGCCTTTTAGATGAAGTTTGCTGCCCCTTGGTTTAGAGTTTTGTTTCCATGATATGTACTTGCCTAACCATTAGCATCGCTAATTACTATTACTGCTAATGGATAGTAATGATTATGTGCATTGTGGAAGGAGAAATGGATGTGTGCCTGTATGTGCCAGACACTTTGCTAAACATTTTACCTAGTCTGTCTCTTTCATTCACTGAGTAATCCTTTAAAGTAGACACTTATATTTCAATATAGAGCCAAAAAAAATAATAGCTCGGAAAGGTTAAGTAACTTGCCAAGGTTACAGGAAGCATTACACAGTAGAGCTGTTAGTCAAACCCAATGTGGTGGTGTGTTTAAGCTGTGAAGCCCCTTGTCCAATTAAATCCTACTTAGAACCCCACTATATAAAATAGTTACTCTGAGCAAAGTTGAAACAGAAGGCCAGCAACCTCAACCCTTCTCAGAATAAGCTGCTTGAAACACGAGTCAATTTTTCAAAAAAAATGAAGCTGAGAACCAGCATGGAAAATGGGCTTTCAACTCATTTCTTCCATGATCTGGCACATTACAGTTTCCCCTCTGATATACTGCTGAGGGTGAGAACAATACCAAAATAACAGGACTGCCTTTTACTTATTTCTTTGCCCAGTAAAATGGATTAAAGTGAGTCAGCAAAAGGGAGAAAGAAGGAGGGGAAGTTAAGGACTTCTTCAAAATCTACCTCATCATTTTGGAGCTCTTAGTCCTCAATTCCATCAAACACAGTGGTGCGAAGGACATCTTCCAAATGGCAGCTCATTTTACCTTAATAGTTGGTGTTTCCAGGTAAGTTTCTAGCTTTCTATCATGATAAGTTAATATATCCTATTTTATTATGGTGCCACAAACAAAAGAACTCTGAAAGGCTCAACTCTTACAAAAGGTCCAAATCCCCTGAAAAGCATCAAGTATCAAAATGCAGCCAGAAAAGATGGTATTAAATGAAAAAAAGGGGCTCCCTTTTAATGAAGTCGAGGTGTAGGACAGATTTATTAGCTTCCATTTTTCCAAGTTGCATTCTGGTGTATTTCCTGCCTATATTTCTAAGTTCAGCAGGTCTCTTTGTAGGATTACTTTTTAAAAATACAATGTTTCAAAGAATATGATGCAGCTATATCCACTACACCTGCAGAGACACACCTGTGATGATACACTGTTTCTCCAATTCACAAGGCAATGCTCTAACAGAAAACAGACCTTCTGCATGATATGCCAAGATCCTGCCATTCTTGAAAATAACCGATACTCATAAGCTGATATTATAAATGGTCTTAAAAATAATAACCAAGAATTATCCCTGGGCTAAATAGTCATTAAATTCAGTGTAACTGTCTATACTTTAGTGTTATAATTCCTTTTTCCGATATGAGATAGTGAAACAAATAATTAAAATTAAGTAGATACTTTTGATGTTGTAACACAGATGCCTGCAATATTCCTATTTGGGCTCAATTATTCTTATGCATACCATTATTTACTGATTTTTTACTGTGTGCTGGGCACTATACTTGATTCTTGATGGAGGAAAGCTAATAATAAAATAAATCTCCTTTCCTTAGAGAATTTCTATTCTGATTATCTGACTGAACCTGTGAATGAATAATTAGTGCACTAAACTCCTAGTAAAAGTACCAAGATCAAGGGGGAAAAAAAAAGTAGGAAGAGAGAATTGTCTCTGCCTACGGGGGCTGGAGAAAGGAACACATTTGAAAGGAACCTGAAGGGTAAGTCGTATTTCCAAGGAAAAAGGAGATGGCATTCCAGACTGAAAGAACAATATAAAGAAAGGCCCAAAGCAAGTGAGTAGGTGACTGTTCTAAAATCAGGACTGGATTATCTGATGGGATGACCAGAGATGTACTGTCCAAGATACCAGTTGCTAGACATGTGCCTATTTAAATTAACATTACATATAATTAGAAATTCAGTTCTCAGTTGAATTTGAAGTACTTAATAATCCCATGTTTCTAGAGTCCATCACATCAGACAACACAGAGTATTCCTTTCCTCACTGCAAAGTTCTACTGAACAGTGCTGAGTATGAGAGTATAGGGTAAGCATGGTGCTGTCTCATGGAGCCTCAACTCTATCTTCAACAGTTTAATCTTTAGTCTAAATAAAAGTGGTTTATAAACCACTATATTCTATGAAATCCCTTTAGGAATTGCCGTGGGGGACTCCACCTTGGCAGCATTGCGATAACCTGCTTTACCCCCTCCAGCTTCTACGTTTCAGTGAAACACCGCTTTTGAAGAAAGAATTCTGCCAAATTTTTTTTTTTTTAAGGCTCAAAACCCACTGTTTTTTAAGCAGGAATGTGATAGATTTGGGTTTTAGGAATATTATCTCTCAGAGCAGTGTACAAGATACGTGGCAAGAAGAGACTGGGCAGACCAAGATCAGCATAGGCTAATGGTGACATGATAAAGGACTGTATTCAGTGAAGCCTCCAAAGAAATGCACAGTTAAGAATTTGTACCAGTAAATTTATTCCAAGTAAGACTTGTGTGCACACACCAGGCAGATAATTTCCACACAAACACCAAACATTGTAGTAAAACTAGTTAACACTTTGGCCATGAAACTCAAAGATACTTGAAAAACCTCTCGATAGCACTTTGAGTCACTTAATTCTGACAAATATTAATATGTCATCCATGCTTGCCCAGTTATAATTTTACAATATAATTGTATTTTTCATTGTACTTATTATTCATTATACTTACTATATATATTTAAAACATCTTTGCTGAAATTCTCTTATCCCAAAAATAATTTTTCAGTAACTCCAAAATACCCACATGTACCTCTTAGCAGGCTATTCCAATATCAAAATTCTTTTTCTTCAAGTAACAAGTTCTCAATCCACACCATTCCTGATCACAGATATAACTGATATGCAGTTTTATAAACAGCTCTTTTACTCCTTGTTCCTATTTTAGCAGGCCAACCATCACTTCACTGATATCCCAGAGTTTTCTTGCAACAGATTCATCCATAGCTTTGGGCAACAGTTCTTCCTCTTTACAATCCCCAAAGTATCTTCCTGACACTCCTTCTACCTCAGGTGAAGAGGCCAAATAAATGGAAGTCTGGGCACCTTCTACTGGAGTTTTGAAAAAAGCCCATGACACCAAATTGAAGAGTGGTTTGACCAACAGTGGAATGTGTATGTGCCTCCCCAGATTTGTCCGTACAATACCAGGATGCAACACATTGACGGTGACATTTGTGCCTTCTAAGCGGCGGGCTAGTTCCCTGGTAAAAAGAATGTTAGCCAGTTTGCTCCGGCTATAACAAAAGCTTTTATTATAGCTTTGTTCACTGTTCAAGTCATCAAAATTGATGTCTCCGTATTTATAAAGTTTGGAAGAAACTACCACAATCCTGCTGGGAGCTGAACTTTTGAGGAGTCCAAGGAGAAGATTGGTGAGTAGAAAGTGCCCCAGATGGTTCACTCCGAACTGCATCTCAAACCCATCTTCAGTCTTCATGTAAGGGCACTGGAAGATCCCTGCGTTATTGATCAAGACATCCAGCCTAGGCTCTTCCTTTAAATGTCAAAAAGAGAATGGCAGAATTATTAAGAACACACGCCTTGTATTGCTTTTTCTGTTCATGATAATTACATTTTAATAAAAATGGGCACTTGAGACTAAAAGCATTTAATTTCAGTTGTTGGTCTATCGATCAGAGAACTACTTGAAACACTGGCAATTTTGTGTTTAATAAATGGGGAAAGGGATTCCTCCGCAGGATGTTCCTCAGATAAATACTGATGTTCATGATCTTTCATTCAACAGCTCTTTTTTCTCATTTATTAAAATGATATACAGAAAGATATTTATCTACAGTCATCTTCCAATAAAAGATGTAGAAACTAAATCTAAGACTTAATTTCTGGTTTTATGCTTTTATAACAATAACATTTACAAATATATAAACTTTAACATTGCATTAGAAAGTTGACTACGTGATCAGTACCAAGATCTTTCTCAAAACAGAAATACAGTCAATTTGAGGACAAGGCACTCCTACAATCCCATATTTCTCCCTTTAATTTCAGTTGAACTAGGAAAATATCAATTTGGGAGTTATCAGGTTAATACTGAGATCATATCAAAATTATAAGTGTACCTATGATAAAATGTTTAAAAATACTTGCAAACTACTAAAATTCTATCCCAAAATGCTTCTATGAGCTTCCAATAATTGAGAGAAAAATAGAAAAAAAAATAGATGCAGAAGCTTGATAGGAGCCAGGCTTTGTGCTTTTCGCATGTCACCACATCTAATTCCAACAACTGTATAAGCAAATGAAGCTCACAGGCTAGGTGACTTGCCCAGTATCAGAACTCCTAAGTAGCAAAATAAGATCAGATCTGAAGATGAAGTCTTTGACACCAAGGCCTATTTTCTTAATTAGTAAGCTGGCATGGCTTTCTAATTGGGATTTTCAAAACAGCTAGAGAGGCAATGAAAGCTAGACAGACCATATGCTGTAGAAAACAGGTAAGCATAGTTTATTCCCAGAGCTACTGGTTATCAACACCAAGGGCAAACTTATGGTTGCTTTATTCTGTAGTTCTCTCAGGGTAAATGGCACCATGGGGGTGGAACAACTTCAAGTCATTTCCTTAAAAGTGAAACAAGCAATAGAAAAGGTCAGAAATGCAAACTTAACACTGGAGAGAACATCATGAATAAATCGAGATTCATAAAGAATAATCAAAGATTAAGAAAAAAATAATCAGGTAATATAAAAATATCCAGCGTAAAGGGGACTCTAGGAGATCTGTACAGTCAACATTTTATACTCTGAACTTATGCTTCTGTATCTTTCCAAATTAAAGTCCTAAAATTTAGACTGTTCTCATAGGGAAGTCTTTTTATTCCTTAAATCATGTAAGATGGTCTTCTCTAGCCTTTTCTCGGTTGTTCTGTTTCTTTTGATGGACAAAGAAATGCACATGTTCCAAGTGTAAAGACACTGTGATGACCCATGATTAATATGAGGTCAACTTTCAAATTTCACTGGCCCTTCTGCCAACTATAAGTGAAAAGAAAAATGTGTTACATTTCACAACTGTTATCGAAGCCCACCTGTCAGAGGATTAACTATTTCTCATTCTGCCCTGTCTAAGCATCTTTGGGTTTTCCAATAGTCAACTTCAAAAAGAAGGCAAGAGTTCACTCATGGGGGAAAGAAAGGAGTATTCTTTTTCACAAATCCTTTGGAAGATTTTCCTGAATTAATCATTTGTTATCCAGCATTCTTTGCTGGGCTTGTGTTATTTTAAAATTTTGTCATTTACTATTTTTTTAAATTCTACGAGATAAATGAAATAAATACCAAGAATACCAACCTGTGGGAAATCTACATTTCCATTTTTTTTTCCTTCTAATTATAGTCACTTAACTTCAGAGCCAGGCAGGAACAGAAATACTTACTTAGAAGCAAGGACAACTTAATTATCTCTTTGTGTCCTCACTTTTTAATTAGTTCTGCCTCAAGTGCCAAAGAAGCAAACCCAGCCCCATCTATATTTTAAAGAGGAACAGAAAGATCCATCTTTAATGCTTCCAAAATCTCACTGATGAGTATTATTTCTTAACCTGTGTTACACATAATTAAATACTAGCAATAAACAAAAAACCAACTCTCTAGTTCTGCAACAGCTCCCGAACTGTGGCCTACAGCATTGCAGCAAACTCTCAGGGTGTTGTGGAATATTTTAAATTTTCGAGGGAAACACAGTGATATTTGCTCAATACCTCAAAACTACTAGCTCCAGGTGGTTCACAGCTTGAACATTACATTGTGCTATATTCCTTTCAATGACATTATTTCTTTGTGGAGCTGACTTTTAAGCAGCTGTTAGCAGTTGCTGTAATAAAAAACAAGAACAATGCTAAAAATCTACCTAGAACAGGAAATGAGGGTGGAAGTGTCCAATCTGATTCCAAGGTTTCAGACACTGGTGTAATGACCAACAGAGATACATTTCCCATTAGTAGTTATGGCTGTTTAAGAACAAAATAAACATATTATTTTTTTCTTTCAATTATGTTATCTTCTCAAATAGCTACTAAGTTGTTAGGACATAACTACTTATTAGGTTGTGTCAAAGGAAAATAAATCTCAGAACCCAAAATCACTAAGTCAAAGGTTAAAGTCAAGCTGGGAACTGCCTCAGACAAACCTGCCTCCCATTTTATTCCTAAATAAGATAGCTACAAAGAAAAAGAAGCTACATATCACCCTCATAATTTGCCCACATGGGCCTCAAGATCTTTACCCTAAAACACTTCTGTTGAATTTCACCCTGGCAATGTATTCATAAATTGATAGCTCATCTTCACAAGTGCCAAACAAAAGACAGAACTCTAAAGTCATCCTTCTGCTCACCTGAGATAAATGCTTATCTGATTGCTGACTCTGCCGTATTGTTTATGTGAAAATGCAGACTCACTGAGCCAGTCTAAGACATAAGTGATTATTCCTCTATCCCTCCTGCACATGTAAATTGTATTCAGTAAAAGGCTAATCAAAGACCCAAAAGAATGCAACCTTTTGTCTCCCATCTACCTATGACCTGGAAGCCCCCACTTCGAGTTGTCCCACTTTTCCAGGAGAACCAATGTATACCTTACATATGTGATTGATGTCTCATGTCTCCCTAAAATGTATAAAACCAAGCTGTGCCCCGACCACCTTGGGCACATGTCCTCAGGACCGCCTGAGGTTCTGCCACGGGTGCATCCTTAACCTTGGCAAAATAAACTTTCTAAATAAATGAACTGGGAAATATTTCTGGCCTAAGGGCATCATGAAAAAATTACTGAGAAAATTTGGGAACCTCTTCTCTAGACTCAAGAGACTCTACGTCATATAGGCACCTTTCTTGTCCCAGCTAATTTTAAATTTCACTCTTCTGAACAAATGCCCTCTGAATGCCAGTTATCCCTGCAAGAAACTCTTCTACCTCAATCTCAACGGAGAACATCCACTTATGTGGAATTACTTACCATTTGCACAAAGAAATCCTCACACCTCACTGCCAGGCAGCAGGAGGAAAGAACAAGGGTTAAAAGCAAGTGTTCTGGAGACAGACCACAAGCAAGTTTCTTAGCCTTCCTATGCCTCAGTTTCCTCGCGTTGTAAAACAGGGATGATAATAATGCCTACTCCACAGGGTTACTGTGTAGCTTCAATGACAGTTATAGGCAAGGACACTTCATTTTCATTTAAGACAAAAAGGAAAATCTGAAATGCTTGGCACAGCTCCTGGCATACAGATCTTCAATAATGCTGGGTGTTATTTTTATTCCTGTCTCTGTATGGAGCATGACCACTGGGTTCCAAAATGTATTCTACTTGGAAATCAGGCCACAGTCCCGTTAAGGATGGTGCTGAGTTTACTGGTGGCAGCGAGCTCCTTACCCCAGCAGAAAAGGGGCAGAGGCCGGGGGAAGGAGAACTTTTTTTAAAGGACTGATATGAGGTCCTTAGCTAGCAACTTCCCCCAGTGCTCAGGGGTTCTGAAGACACAGCTTGGTGCAAATTCACTTCTGACACAGGAAAAACAATTCAGAGGCCATGGATCTACTTCGGGGCGGTCCTCACGTAACGAAATGAAACGTTCAGAAACTGGTTTATTTATTTTTCTCTTGGGCCCATTTCTTTTTCGACATCCTTAGAGGACAGAAGGCAGCCCTCCCAGTTAGTTTCTCTTTCCCTCTCAACCCTGCAGCTTCCCGGCCGCCTCAAAGTGGCTTTTTGGACTCCTCTCAGCCTCAGCGGTTCCCAAGGTGACACCCTGAACCCCAGGGCGGTCCCTCGCGGCTCAGCCCCAGCCCGCAGTCCCCTCCCACACCGTGCCCAGGCCCTCCCCACCAGCCCGGCCCCCCGAGGCCCACACCTGGAGCATTTCCTGGCAGAAGGCGCGCACCGAGCGCAGCGAGGCGAGGTCCAGCTCCCGGACTATGAGCTCGCCCACCCCGCTGACGCCAGGCTCTGGGCCGCACTCCGCGGCCTGGCGGAGCTCGCGGCGGAGCTGACCCGCCGCCTCCTCGGCGCGCGCGCGGTCCCGGCAGCCCATGATCACCCGCGCTCCCAGGCGCAGTAGCTCGGCGGCCGTGGCGCGGCCCAGGCCGCTGTTCGCCCCGGTGATCAGCACAGTCTTCCCGTGCATGAGGCCGGGGTCCCCGCCTCTGCGCAGCCGCTGGACCCTGGGCCCCACGAACCGGCGGGCCGCCAGCCACAGCGCCCCGCCCAGAGCGGCCAGTACTGCCGCCGCAGTGGCCACTGCCATCGTCAGGCCCGAGGGCCCACCGGCCCCTCCACGGGAGTTCCGCAGCCGCCGCCTTACCGGAACCCAAGAGACCACCTGTACGCGGAGAACGCTGGGGCGCGGCGGGTCGGCCCCTGACGGTGCGCGTGGGGCATGCTGGGACTTGTAGTTTCCCTCTGGGGGGGTCGCCTGATTGGTTGTGAGAGTTCAGCGCCCTGGGTCCTGCGCCCTCCGTGGAAGCTCCTCCCAGCCTAATGATGGAGGCTGGGCAACCAGCACAGTGTTCAGGGTGCTGGGGTTCATACGTATTGAAATCCCAGAGTAGTGGCGGACTTCCCCATGGGAATGTCTGATGAGTACTTTGAATCACAGATCTCTGTACAGGCCCTGTTACAAATGCCACTCCTCAGGGCATTTCGTGTGTTTTCCTTTGAGGGCTCTTGGGACTTGTAAATTCAGTTCAATTCACCTTCTGAGGAATGGGCCCTGACAAGCTGAAGTCTGAGGTAGGACTGTTTTTCATAGATGAGACAAAGAATTAAGCAACATGAATCAGTTGGAAATAGAATGGTCGAGTAGTTCTCAAACTTAAATGCACATCAGAATCACCTGGAGGACTTGGGGTGGGGGTTCGGGGTGGGGGAATGAAACAAAACGAAAACAAAAAACCAGGGCCCCAGTATTAGAGTTTCTAATTCAATAGGTACAGGATGGGGCCTGATAATTTGCACTTTTAACAAGTTTCCAGGTGCTGCTGCTGCTGCAGATCTGGGAACCACACTTTGAGAACCACTGAACAAGACATTATGTCATTGGTCCCTATTAAAAAAAAGAAAGCCATCTTCAAATGATCTTCACACTGGCAGAGGTACAGTGGGAAAAGCTTGGACTTATTGTAAATATAGGCTTCTGAGCAGGCCATTTACAAATGCCTCCCTGCCCTCTCCATAGGACTATTACACACAACGATGGAAGGCAAAGTGCTTGGCTCACTGTAAAATGCCTCATTAATATCAGGGTTAGTGTCACAGGGACCCTTCTTCAAGCTACAAACTTCATAGCTGTAGACCAAGCTACTTTTAAAGACTCATTCGTTCGTCTGCCTCTCCATCCAATATGTGCCTGGCCCTGCCTGTTCCCTGTTAGAGCCACAGAGAAATGGGACACCATTTCTGCTCTCAGGGTGCTTACTTTCTGGAACTGTGATCTCCCACTTCCCACCCTCCACCCATTGCAGGTTCTCCAGACAAGGAAAAAGAACCACAGCTTGTGTCGTTTGAGACAAACTCCCCAATAATTGTGATAATCCATCTTCCACTCCCTTACATTTGGGAAGGATGTAACATGCAACTAATAGTCAGAATACAAAGAAAAAGGGATGGATTCCAGGAGGTTTCTTATGAGTAATGAGAATGGAGCTCAGAGGTGGGAAAGAGCACTCTTACTGGGGATTATACAAGGCACCAGGAACAGGAATCATGAGAGGTGGTCCTACACCACCCTATCCCCAATTTGAAGCTGCTACTCAAACTCATTGATCCCCCAGCATATGTTTCCACTTTATTGTCCTTTCTACCCATCCACATCTTGCCCATCCATCAAAATCACAGGCTACCTCAAGTCTTTCTTTCCTGACCACTTCCAGCCTATAAAGATCTCTGCTCCCTTCATGTGTGACCCTCAGGGTCATGTGTGACCCTCACTGGCACTGAAGACAAACAGCCTTCTAGTATTGGCTGTTTGAGTTTGCACATTTGACTTCCTTGACCAGATTGTTAAGGTTTCAAGTTTCCTAGAGGATAGGATTGTGTCTGCGTACCTCTTGTGGTCTTTGCATGGGAGGACACCTACAAAATGGTAGGTACTCAGTGTCACATGTCACAACTGATATATTTTGGACTGGTTTACATAAAATTAGGGAGCATCAGAAGATGTGTTTCAGCTGTGGTCTTCTCTCATCTAGAGCCAGGGGTGGAATACATATGTACAGGTGGAGTAGAGATGAAGGTGGAGGTAGAGAGAGCAGGAGAGGGTAGGAGGAAAAGAGGAGGGAGGAATCCTTAGACCTGCAGTGTAACTGCTGTGTAGTTTATGCATGGAACTTAATGAAATGATTAATCTGTACCAGATGGGTCCAAAGGCCATGAAATTAATAACTCTATTTGGAAGGGAGGAAAGAGACCTCATTATAACTTATGAAGTAAGATTTGAATTTGAATCTAATTAGTCTTAACACTTATTAGCTCCATATCCTTAAACAAGCTGTCTAATCTTTTTGAATCTTAGGCTCCTCATTGATAAAAAGGAAGGTAATAATAATACTATGTCACAAACATTTAATTTGATAAGAAAATGAAGTAACATGTGAAAATAACCAGGTCACTGTGCCTAACATATGATATATTTAATGACCAACCAATTTTTGTTGAAAACAAAACAAAAATCATGAGAGAATGACAATGAAGGGCCAGGATACTACACTTCATGTCACTTTTTGAAGTGGTAGCGTAGGGTCTTTTTTTTTTTTTTCCATACAAATATGGATGTGCCAGCCTGCCAGGCCCAAAGCCGGAGACTTCAAATATGAAACTCTGTGGATCAGAGGCATTTAACCCACCAAATAATTTTCAGAGAACCTTTCTTAGGGGTTTCTGTTTAAGGCTTATCTTAGAAAGTACCCTGGAGGAACAACCAGATGATTTATTTCTAAATGAGCAGTATCAAAATTGTTATACTCATGCAGGTAGAGTGAAATTCTCATTTTGCTTTGGTTACAAAGCTAGCCATAGCAGTCACAGAATACAAAGCTCCAGTTTTCAAGAGTGTGCTTAACCATACTCCTTCTACCTTTGAAGACACTATTCTACAATGCTGATGGGTAACAATTCATTGTTATCTACAAACATCCAAAAATGAGCAGTGTTTATAAAACTAAGTAAGCTTCTAAAACAGTGCCTTAAGCATGCAAATATTCAAGTTCTAAACTTATCCTAAAGAGTCATCATTATGACTTACACAGAGATAGGTGTAATGGCATTCAACAGTATTGGTAGTTCAAAGAGAAGTAGTTTGATGGTAACTTGAGGGTTCAAAAGGTTTTCCAAAAAATCAGGAGAAAACCTTTCCAAAGAAGCAAAGTTTTAAGGTCCAATTTTCTGAAATACCTATCTAATTATCCTAGAGAGCCAAAAGAAGTGGCTTCTGTAACACCAGACTATCACCACTTTATTTCTCCTCCCTGCCCCTAACTACTGAATTTTTTATTAAAGCCATAAGCTGCGATGGAACCTAACCTCTGTGCCCCTTCAATGTGGAACATGTGGTCATCAAAGAAGATGTGGGGCCGGATCTTCACCAAGATGGGACTTTTGGGGGCTCCAGCAAGGAAAAGAGCTTCGTCTATCTCTAGACCCCAGCGTCGAAGGGTCTTCAGCACACGGGCGCCTGAACTGGCTGCACTCCTAGCTGTAACCAGGTAGGTCCTGATAGGACAAAGTAACCGTTCATTTTTGGCATAGAACTTCTTTTGCAGTCTGCCTAAATCTTCCAGAAAGCCTTTTAGGGGACCCTGTAAAAGGAACATATATCACAGCTGTGATACAGTGAGCCAAAGAAAGTGAATGCTAAAAAGCAGAGACCTATATGATACGATACAATACAAAGGATATAATACAGCATGACATGCAGTGTTATGAAGCTGATGGCAAAATGCTAAAACTTGATAGGAATTTATGTGAATATGTTTTCTGATATAGAACCATCCTTGCATTCCTGGAATGTGCCTAAAATGACCATATTATTTAACATGTAAACCTATATACTTTAGGTATGAAAGAATGTTCAATAAATACTTAAGCCAGGACAACAGACATAAACTATCCATGGTAAGCTGGAATAGAGGGTCACTCTAAATAAACTCTAATTAGTTACCAAAGCACTACTCTTTTAATTTGCTTTTTGTGAATTGTGCATTTTAACTTTATGAAGTATATGCTTTTGTCTAGTTTAATGCTGTTTGGCTTGAATCTAACTGTGTCTTTCATTTTTAACCTTTCCAAACACTTGGTTTTAGTATCTCTTGTACAGAGCCTAGAATTGGATTTTGCTATGTGATACAACCTGAAAATCTTATTTTTTAAAACAATAGTTAAGTTTTTGTTCATTTACATTTATTCATATTACAAACATACTTGAGATTGTTTCTGTCTTATGGTTTTTATTGCATTTTCCATGTTTTAAAATTTTTAAAGGATTGTTCAATAATCTGTGTCTTTCTTCTTTGTAGTTGTGTGTGGGTGGTTCTTCTGACATTTAAGAAGGTTTACATTATTTCCTTCTATAAATTACCTTTACAACTATAACCTTTTATAGTACCCTCAGTCCTCTATTTTAAAAAGAATCCCAGATCTATTATTCTTCATAATGAGAAATAATGAAAGCAGGGCATTTCTTCAATGTCTCTGTAGTCCT
This sequence comes from Homo sapiens, assembly GCF_000001405.40. Classification (NCBI taxonomy): domain Eukaryota; kingdom Metazoa; phylum Chordata; class Mammalia; order Primates; family Hominidae; genus Homo; species Homo sapiens. The sequence continues at coordinate 18,565,022 of NC_000002.12, forward strand.
CTATTTCTTCTCCACCATCTAATTTTAGTCATTTATTTACTTTTCCTTGGTGTTTCTTTTGCATTATTACATTTTGTTTTATTTCTGTTTATCAAGTTTACATTTCATCCTTTGATTGGCTATTGTAACTGAAAATTCCAGCATACTTCTTCCGTAGACCTTCTTTCCCCATATTTTTCCATTTTTTGTTAGTTACATAATTTGTACATCATACAAATTTGTTCATTTGTACGGTTGTTTTAGTTTTAATTCTATGGTTAAGTATATTATATGACCATTTGTGCCTTTGTGCTTCTAGTCCTCTGCATGTTGGCCGAAATTTGTCCTGTAGTACTGATTTTCTCAAAAACATCTTATGGTAATAATCCCTGAGAATATAGTATATTCTCAACTATATATCTATTTCCTCTGTCCTTGAATAAACTTTTGGCTAGATATAGAATCCATGATTTACATATAAGATTCTCCACAAGATCTTATAAGTAGTGCTCCACTGTCTTTTGCTTTTGAATGCTGCTCTTGAGAAGTTTGAGGGCCTCTTGATTGCCATGCCACCTCTTCCATCACTTACATGAGTAGGCAGCCCAGATAATTATTTCTTCATTTTGAAGCCCAGTAATTTCACTAGGCCATGTCTCAGTGATGGTCATTTTGATTCTATACCTCTGTCATACAATATGGGCTTTTAATCTTTAATATTTTAATCATTTAATATATATAAACATCTTTGATAATTTAGCAGTTTTTAATTTATATTTTTACATTAATTTGCATCTTTATATTTAACATCAGTCCCCCTCCCCCAACATGATTTTAAAGTTTTTCTTCAGGGATTCTACTTAGGCATATGCTGGGTCTTCTTTACCTGTTATCTATTTCTGTCATTTTTCTATATGTAATTGTATTTTTAACAGTAACAGATGGGTAATAACTCTATTGGAAGGGACGAAAGATTTACAGCATTCTATAACTTTCACATTTTATCATGTCTTCCTTGACTATTGCATTTTTACTTTATGATCTTGCTTTAAGTCTTTAAAAGTCATGGCAAATGTTCAGTCATAATTATCTGTATTATGTCAACTTTTTCTTGTAAGAGCTCTTCATCTGTTATTAGATTTTTTTCTTTTTTAATCTGCCTTTTTCTCATAGTATCTTTGAATGTATTCAATGTCAGCTCTCTTTTTATTATTACTTATACTGAAGTAGACTGGTTTTTCTTGGGATAATTGGTGGGTTTCTAGGGGAAGGTCAAGGGTAGTATTTGGAGACTGACTTGTTTTCATGATTCAAAGGCTCCCTTCTTTGCTGTCATGGAAACAAACAGTTTTCTGTAAACATGACTTATTGTGTAACCATTTGCTTAAATTTTCTTTAAGGTTGTATATCTTAGAAAAAAACAAGTAAATTTGCTTTCTCACGGTAAGAGGCCATACATATAGGTGAAAAAACTGGGACTGTTTTTATGACAAAAGCAGAAAACTCATAGTGACTGTTGGCAGGAACCACCCTCATTGCAGTTAGTCTTTAAAACACAGAGGGGCACAGTTTCCCTTGCTGTTTTTGGATGATTTCCAAATGGAAGAAACAGAGAATGCTGAGTTATGTCACCACATTCAAACCAAGTACCCATCTCATTCTCTTTTACTTCTATATTGGGGTATGTTTTATAATTTATACATTTGCACAGTAGTACAGCATATAATTTATCAATAAAAATATAACAATACTAGGGAAGCTTACAAAAAGCAAATACTAGGGAGAGACTGTTACTCCCACCCTAATAACAAGAAAACTCCAATCTAAAAAATAACTTTTCTTGAGCCCATCAAAGAGCTGAGATTGCAGGGTAACCACCTAGCATGAAAACTAGGGAAAAACAGTCATCTTCAAGAAGACATGGAGTGCAAGAACTGTGTACTTTTGGTAGAGTGTTGAAGAAAGTTATACCAGCTTCCATACAAGCAAGTACAAGCAATTCAAGTAATTTCAAAAAGACATTGACAAAGAACTAGGGTCCACCAATGAGAGAGCATAGAAGCCCTAGGATCCACAGGCACAAGAAGTACACACTCTCTTTTAGGCTTTTCTCCATGGACTTCACTAGATGCTGATGACAAAGACTGCAGGCAGTGGGGTGATAGAATAAAGCCATCCTTGATGGTACAGGTGTGGAGGAGGGGAGCAGCTGCCACTGGGGGCAAAGACTAAAACTCCCCCTAGTTGCTTATACCCTCAGGAACAAAGAGCCTAGACTGCTAGAAGAGCTTCAAACACTGTTATCCTCCAGGGCATGAGTAAAGATCCACTGTTACAGAAGAAAACATTCTAACTTTGGGAGAATAAGAGACTATCAAGGATTGGTACCATTAGATATTGGCTATCACTGGGGCATGGCAAGATCCAGGATGTTCATCCCTAAGCCCTAGGAAGATAGAAGAAATAGCTGGGAAGGGGTAAGAATGAGGAGACCTTCTCTGCAGCAGACACACAGGGAAGGCCTGCTGCTGAAAGTCGACTAGAAATCTTGAGAAAAACCCTCTGGTAAGCCAGTTTGCACCCTAAGAACAAAGTTGATACCAGACAAACTTGGATCCTGTGGTGCCATGAAGATAACCATAGCAACCACAAAACCTAAAACAACTTTAATACCTGATTTGATTGATTCAATCTATCACAATAATTGCTAGTCCCACAGTAAAACAGAACAAAACAAAATGAACAATCTACTTTTAGGAGAAATTAAAAGAACTAGACTTAGTAATGACCCAAGTGTCACAAATATAACAGAGGGAATTGAAAATAACTGTGATTAATATCTTTAAATGTCTACTTTAAAGGTGGATACCATACATGAGTAGACTAGCAATTTTGGCAAAGAGATTGAAATGAAAAGAGTTGAATGGAACTATATAAAGAGTGCCTAATGGATGTGTCAGTAGACTCAACACAGCTGAAGAAATAATGAGTGAACTTGAAGACAGGTCAATAGAAATTGCCCAAACTGAAAAGAGAAAGAGAAAAAAAGAGTGGGGAAAAAAGAGCAGAGCATTGAAATGCTGTGGGACACACACACACACACACACACACACACACACACACACTCCCCTCTCATATTCAAACCAAAGGAAATATAGACAATTATGAAGGCAGCCAGACAAAAACAGACACATTACATACTAAGGACCAAAGATACAAAATTCATAACATTTGTCATCAAAATCTATACAAATGAGAAGACAATGGAAGAGCATCTTTAAAGTGCTGGGAGAAACACACAGTAAACCCAGAATACTACATTCAGTAAAAATAAAATATTGTTTTAAAAACTAAATAAGATTAAAACTTTTTAGGCAAAGAAAAACAGAGATTCAGTACCAGTAGATTTGTACGACATGAAATGTTAAACAAAACAAAATAAAACAAAAGATCTCCTGGCAGAAGGAATATGATAACAGAGAAAAACCTGATCTACACAAAGAAAGGAAGATCTCTGAAAATGATTAAAAGGAATTTGAATATGAAATACATATTTTTGCCTCATCCTTATTTACTAGACGGTATTTAATTGCCAAAAACAGAAATAGTAGTGGAAAAGAAAAATAAATGTTGCAGTCCCCAGGTCACTAAGCTAAAGGGAAAAGTCAAGCCTGTAACAGCTTAGAGACAACCTGCCTCCCATTCTATTCAAAGTCACCCCTATGCTCACTGAGATAACTACATATCTGATTGCCTCCTTTGGAGAGGCTAATCAGAAACTCAAACCCGCTTGGAGTCTTCCTACCTTTGCTTCAAGCTGTCCTGCCTTTCCAGACCGAACCAATGTTCATGTTACATATGTTGATTAATATCTCATATCTCCCTTAAATGAATAAAACCAAACTGTGCTCTGACCACCTTGGGCACATGTCGTCAGATCCTCCTGAGGCTGTGCCATGCATGCGTATCCTCAACCTTGTCAAAATAAACTTTCTAAATTAACTGAGACCTGTTTCAGATTTTTGAGGTTCACAGTAGCAAAGTATAGAGAGTTTATAGAATAGATAAAATAATATATGACAACTGTAGCACAAAACATGAGAGGCAGAGTTTGGCAGTTCGTTGTTGCAAGGTTCTTACAGTACATATGATGTTGTAGAGTATAACATTGACAATAGACTGTGATTACTTAAAGTTGTATATTGTAAACACTAGCGTAACTAATAAAAAATTTTAAATGAGTCATAAGCCAATAGTGGAGATAAAATGGAACGTAAAAACACACAATAAGTCTGTAAGTAAATAGGGGAAAAAAGAAAAGAAAAAGGGGACTAAGAACAGTTGGAACACAGAAAAAACATAGGAAGATAGTAGATTTTAATCCAACCAAAGCAATGATCACATTAAATTTAAATGTCCTAAAAACAGCAATTAAAACACAGGGATTGCCAGATTGTATAAAATAGCAGCACCAACTGTAATATCTATAAGAAAAATAAGTTAAATATAAACACAATTTAAATATAAAGACATAGATAAAAGTATAGAAAAATCATATCATACAAACATTAGCCCCCCCAAAAAAGCTGGAGTGATTATATGAGTATCAGATGAATATTACATAATGAAAAGATATTAATTAAGATTAAGACAATATAATAATCCTAAATATGTAGGCACCTAAAAACAGAGATTCAAAATACATGATACAAAACTGATAAAATTGAAAGGATAAATAGATAAATTCTCAAATATATTTGGAGATTTCAACATTGCCTTCTCAATAGTACATAAAGCAAGTAGACAGAAAATTACTGACAATATAGAAAACCCAAGCAATATGACCTGAATTAATTTACATAATCTGATTGACATTTATAGAATACTTAATGACAACAGAATATTCTTTTCAAATACACATGACATATTCATCAAGATAGACCATATTCTTGGCATAAAACATACCACAACAAATTTAAATAATTGAGATACAAAATATGTTTTCTAATCACAACACAACAGAGTTAAGCTTTGTTTCAACAATAGAAAGATATCTGAATAAACTCCAAATATATGATAATTAAATAACCTACTTCTAACCTATTTCCTTCAAAGAGGAAATTACAGAGAAATTTAAAAAATATATTTTGAATTAAATAAAAAAAAATCATCTATCAAAATTTGTGGGATGCAACTACAGCGGTGTTTAGAGGAAAATTTATAGCATTAAGTGCTTATATTAGAAAAGAAGAGAGGTTTCAAATTAACAGTCTCAGCTTCCACATTTGAAAACTTAGGAACAGCTGGCTCAGGAAAATTGATTTACTTCTGGCCAAACTGACCAAGAAAAACAACAACAAA